>NC_000011.10:109596667-109899697 GCF_000001405.40 Homo sapiens | reverse complement strand
ATTGTGAATAATGCTGCAATGAACCTGGGAATGCGACACATATTGATTTCACATATTCAAATCTTTTGGGTAAATACCCAGAAGTAGGATTGCTGAATTATATGGTAATTCAGTTTTCAGTTTTTTGAGGAAACTCCATACTGTTTTTCATAATGGCTTCACTAAATTATGTTTCCACCAATAGTGTGCAAGGATTCCCTTTTCTCTACATCCTTACCAACACTTGTTGTCTTGTGTCTTTTTTGATAATTGCCATTCTAATAAGTGTGAGATCATATCTCATTGGAGTTTTAATTTGTATCTCCTTAATGATTAGTGATGTTGAACATTTTTTTCATATTTCTGTTACCCATTCATGTCTTCTTTTGAGAAATGTCTATTCAGGCCACTTGCTTATTTCTTAATTAGACTATTTGTTTTCTTTTTATAGAGTTGTTTGAATTCCTTATATATTTTTGATATTGGCCTCTTATCAGATGTATGACTTGAAAATATTTTCTCCCTAATTGTAGGTTGTCTCTTCACTCTGTTAGTTGTTCCTTTTGATGTACAGAAGCTTTTAGCTTTGATCTAATCATAGTTGTCTAGTTTTCCTTTTGTTTTCTGTTCTTTATTCATCAGATTAAAAATAATTATTGCTCAGACCAATGTTGTGTAGTTCTCCCCCTGTTTACTTTTACTAGTTATATAGTTTCAGATATTATGTTTCTTTAATCCGTTTTGAGTTGATTTTTTGTATATCATGTGAGTGTTTTAAAAAGACAGCATGGCTGGATAGAACATTCTTATTGCCAGTGCTTTTCTTTCAGCACTTTGAAAATATCATCCGACTCCTTTCTGTCCTGCAAGATTTCTACTGAGAAATCTGCTGACAGCCCATGGAAATTCCTGTATATTTTATGAATTCCCTTGTATATGATAAGTCAGTTTTCCCCTGCTGCTTGCAAAATTCTTTTGCAAGAATTTTTGACAATTTGATTAGAATGTATCTCATTGTGTATTTCTTTGGTTTCATTCTATTTGGGATCTGTTGGGCTTCCTGCATCTGAATGTCCATTTTCTTCAGAGGAGTTGAGAATTTTTTGACCATCATTTATTTGAATTAGCTGTATAGCTCTTTCTTTTTCTATTCTCCTTCTATGACTTTCCTAACCCAGTGCATATACTGGTCCACTTAATGAACCAGTGCATATACTGGTCCACTTAATGGACCAGTGCATATACTGGTCCACTTAATGGTATCCCATAAGTCCCTTAAGCTTTTTTCACTCTTTTTCAAATTTTTTTTCCTTATTGCATCTCTGACTGGATAATTTTAAATGGCCTTTCTTTAAATTAACTGATTTTTTTTCTTTGTTATCTAGTGTGCTGTTCAACACCTCTAGAAAAAATTTCAATTCAGTTAATGTATTCTTCAGCTTGAAGATTTCTGTCTGGTTATTTGTAATATTTTTAAATCTATTTGTTGAGATTTTCACTTTGTTTATGCAATAGCCCCCACCCCTGGCCCCCGGGTTTGATAAACATCTCTATGGCAATTATTTTGAATTCTCTGTCAGGTAATTCATATATCTCTTTTTCATTAGGGTCAGTTTCTGGAGCTTTAACTTGTTTCTTTCTTTGGGATGCATTTCTCTATTTCTTCATTTTTCTTGACTCTTTGTGTTGGTGTCTTTGCATTAAAAAAAAAAAAACCCAAATCTCTTAGTCTTTATGCACAAGACTCTAATAAGAGAAGACCCTCACCAATTGGCCCAGCTAGTGATTCTGGAGCCTTCTCAAACTGAAAAATAAAAAAAAAATAAATTACTAAGTGTGAAAAGACAAATAATAAATATTAAAATTACTTCATCGAAAAAGTAGTTAGAAACAATGTTATAACATTATCTGAAGGAACTTTCTATATTATAAGAGAGATTAATGATAAATGAGAAGGTAACCATTGGAGAAAAAAATGAAAGTATTGAATTCTTCATCTTCCATATATTGGGCTTAAAAATAATTTTGGTTATAGATTTTAGCAATTAGATAAAAATTATGTAAAACATTAAGATAAAGTAGAATTAAACATAAAGTTATTTTTAATTATTTGGTAAGTTCTTTTAATAATTGCATTTAACTGTTACATAACAGCTGAAAAACTACCAAATTTATTTTATAAATATATCATCATTCTGATACCAAGTCTAGCAAAAACAAACTAACACAAATCCTATGAACAGGAAATATTCTAGGAGAATTTACACTATAACGTTAACTAATTTTCTCTGTGGTGGGTTAGTGGGTAGTTTAGTGAGCATTCTGGATGTTAAGGCTAAAGTAGTCAGCAATACAATCCCAGCCTTCAAAACGTCTACTGCCTAGCAGGAGAAAGATGTCAACATCTCTGGAGGCACATCAAGTAGGCTGCGTTTTTCATAGAAGGTATGTTTTTATGTCTGTTATGTAAATCTCTAGGTATAAGCTGCAAGCCTTTTTTCTCTTTCTTTTCACTTTTTAATGTTTTATTAGAAATTAATATTACTACCAATGCATTTAATTAAAGAATTATACAACTTATAGGCAAATTGCAGTCCCTTGTCCTTCCACCCCTTTTAAATTCCCAGAGGAAACCACCTTTAATACTTTCAGTAATTTTGGGGGGCTATACTTTTATTTTTTTAATTATTATTTTTGGAGATGGAGTCCCTCTCTGTTACCCAGGCTGGAGTGCAGTGGCGTGATCTCGGCTCACTGCAACCTCTACCTCCTGGGTTCAAGCAGTTCTCCTGTCTCAGCCTCCTAAGTAGCTGAGATTATAGGTGTGTGCCACCATGCCTGGGTAATTTTTGTATTTTAGTAGAGATGGGGTTTCACAGTGTTGGCAAGACTGGTCTTGAACTTCTGACCTCAGGTGATCCACCTGCCTCAGCCTCCCAAAGTGCTGGGATTACAGGTGTGAGCCACTGTGCCTGGCCATACTTTTATATTTTTACATTAAATGCTGGCACTGCTCTAAGTTATTCTAGATCTCATGCCTGCATCTTTCCTTGCTTAGTGGAGTACATCCTCTAGAATAGCCTTTCTCAACCATTTGGTTTCAAGACTCTTTCACACTCTTGAAAATTACTGAAGCCCTCAAAGGGTTTTGTTTAAGTGGGTTATACTTACTAATTTTATATGGTAAAATTAAAACTGAAAAATTTAATAATATTACTTAATTTAAAACAGTGGTAAAGAACACATTGCATGTTCACATAAATACAATAAAAATTAGTGAGAGGAGTGTCATTGTTTTACATTTTGGATAATCTATTTAATGTCTGGTTGAATTAAAAAATGCCAGATTTTCAGGTGGGCGCAGTGGCTCACTCCTGTAATCCCAGCACTTTGGGAGGCCGAGGTGGATGTATTACTTGAGGCCAGGAATCCGAGACCCTCCTGGCCAATGTGGCAAAACCCAATCTCTACTAAGAATACAATAAAATTAGCGGGGCATGGTGGCACGTGCCTGTACTCCCAGCTACTTGGGAGCCTGAGGCACAAGAATCACTTGAACCCAGGTGATGAAGGTTGCAGTGAGCCGAGATCGAGCCACTACACTCCAGCCTGGGTGACAGAGTGAGACTCCATCCTTTCAAGCTATCATGATGTCAAACATCATGTAGCCTTAGGAAAACCCTACTATACACTTATGAAAGAATGAGAGAGAAAAAGACAAGTGACACCTTAGCATTTTTGTGAAAATAGCTTTGCCCTTGTGGACTCCCTGAGAAGAGTCTCAGAGCTTCCCAGGTGTCTAAATCACACTTTGGGAACCATTGCTCTAATAGTTTATTGAGAAAAGGCAAAAGGGAAGTGTATTAGTTCATTTTCATGCTGCTGATAAAGACATACTCACGACTGGGCAATTTACAAAATAAAGAGGTTTATTGGACTTACAGTTCCACGTGGCCCAGGAGTTCCACGTGGCCCGGGAGTTCCACGTGGCCTGGGATGCCTCACAATCATGGCGGAAGGTGCTAGGCACGTCTGACATGGCAGCAGGCAAGAGAAGAAAACTTGTGCGGGAAAACTCCCCTTTTTAAAACAATCAGATCCCATGAGACATAGTCACTATCACGAGAATAGCCTGGGAAAGACTTGCCTCCATGATTCAATTAACTTCCACCAGGTCCCTCCCACAACACATGGGAACTGTGGGAGTTACAATTCAAAATGAGATTTGGGTGGGGGAAGAGTGTAGTAAAATATTTGAAAACAAACAAGTCCAATAAGATTGTTTTTCTACCTGCCTACTTGACTAAGTATTTAGTTCAATGTAAAATTCTAGATTGAAAATAATTTTTCTTAAAAAATGTAAGAGATTTCTCCCCTGCTTTTCACCTCGAGGGTTGCTGATATGATGTCTGGCAACACTTGGATTCCCTATGCTATTGGTAGCCCCTTTTTTGTCATTTGAAGCTTTTAGAATGTTCTTGTTATTTTCAGTTTTTATTTTACTGGGCACTTGTAGGTTCTTTCAATCTTCAAAGTCATGTATTTTGTTTCTGTGAAACTTTCTTGTATTAATAATCTCTTCCATTTCTTTTGTTTTCTTTCTGGAACTCTCATCATTCAGATATGTAATCTGATTGGATCTTTTAGTTTTCTCACATTTTCTCCCCTATTTTCTATCTCTGTGTTTTCTTGTTCTGCTTTCTGGGAGATTTCTTCAATATTATATTACAGTTCTTTTTGTTTTCAATTTAATTATAGTCATCTTTAATTTCCAGGAGTAGTATCTTTGAATATTTTAATTATATATTTTTAATGAATTTTTTTCCTGCTATCTGCCTTGTATATTTCTGTTTCTTTTTTTAAAACAAAAACTTGAAGTATAATAAAAAATAAAAATAAATAAATAAATAAATAAAACAAAAAACTACTCTTTTTAGAGCCTTTCCTCAAATGCCTGGTGGTCCCTGAGTGTTGATTTCAAGAATGAAGCACTTAAAATTGAATGGCAGTGCACATAGTGGTAGGGCTCACTGAGAGTGACTGGATGAGCCTGGGAGATCTCTACCAGCCCATAGCTTTTCTTTTGGCTGGTAAAAAGGAAACCTTCTATCTCTTCCCTGGAGGATACAAACCTGTCTGCCAGCATAACAAGAGCAGAGCAGGGGATGTAAACTTCTCCCAAGTTATCTGCTTTCATTGCAACCCCAAACCATTATCTTGGTCTCAGGCACAGAGCTGCCTTCTTCCAAGATCTCCAGAGGATAAATAGCTTGGCTTCTGTGAGAGTTGGGGAGGGGAAGTCACTTGACTGTACCAACTGGAGCCAAGTATCAAATGTCTTCCCAAGACTTGTGGATCATTCTTCCTATCCCAGTTCCAATTTCTACTTTCCTCGAGCCCTTCTGCATTTTGCATTACCCTCCACAAGCCCTTAGGTTTCAGCTTCCTCTGTTTTACAGTTGGTTACAGTTTATTTTGATTCTAGTCTTCCAAACTATTGTTGACACATCTGAGGTCTTTTCTTTCTTTTTTTTTGTGAAATTGAGAGCATAAACTTTAAAAAAATCCCCATTTTTGTAAAGAAAGAAAGTAAAAGGTAAATATGAGAGAGATAAATGTATGTTCTATTTACCACATTCACTGGCAGTCGGCTGCAAGTCTATCATGATTTAAAAACAATATCAAGATCTGCTCATGCACTTTATAGGTTTTTTTAATGGAACTTTATCTTTTCCTTGAAAGCAGAATCTTTATTTAGTGTTCACCAGACCCCAGTATTTATTCTGGTAATAATCTGTTTGCAAAATTTTGAATTACTATATTTGACAAAATTCAAAGTCATTAGTTATGTTTTTAATAGAGTGTAAAATAGCTAATAAATTTTTCTCTTGCTTTGTGGAATTTTTATTTTCAACAATATGTGAAAATCTCAAAATAAGATCTTAAAAGGCATAGAATACATCCATTTAACAATACGTAAGATGGATTTTCTGGAAAGTTTAATCTCTCTCTGAGGATGTAGATCTTCAATACATCAGTCATATGCTAGGGGTCAAATGGATGGTTATGACAATAAATGTTACAGTTAAGAGGGTTTGTGGAGGACTAAAGTAGTATGGCATTACTTTAGAGATGAAAAAATAGAAGAAAAGAAAGGTTAAATGATTTGACAAAAACAATACTTTTAAGTTTATAGGAGTTGGATTTAAAATCTTTGTTTTCAAATTTCTGGTTTAGTGCCTTTTCTTCTTACCCAGATAAACATTCTATTTACCCACTTAGTTAAGGAGTCCAAGTGGGAAGTCCTCAGTATGTTCAACAGAATTTATTTCACATATCTGGCTAAAATAACACATAGCATAAAAATCCTATGCCTTTAACCAAGAGTTGCTTACCTTTCTCAAATAGCTACTACAAGTCACCTCTAAAGAGGTCATTTTTCATCACAGGCACCGTTCTTCTACTACAAAATTACCATTTTCATGAATGTGTGTTTTGTTTTTTTCCCAAACTGACCAATTAGTACATAAATGCACATAGCTCTTTGGAATGAATGGAAGATTAGTCTAGAATATAATTTCAGCTAATATTCTTAAGATCAGGAATATGTAGAATGCATTATTTATTGTTTTCATCCCTCTGCCTGTTTCCTTTTATGGAATTAATATGAAGAATTCGAGGATGATAGCTGCTATAAAAATGCAGGTTTGCTCTCAGTCCCATAGAAAATTAAAGTTGAGTCCTTTTCTGGTAGTGCTACCTTGGATTCATTAGATTTCATGCACTTGGTGTCTGGATTACCTTGGTTCTTAAATCTTTTCCTACTGATTTTGATTCCTCTGTCCCTCTTATACAAATTAATTAAAATCCACTGTACTTAACATTCTTTCTGTGCTTTCTTGTGTATTCTCCGAAACTACATTTTATATTTAGAAAATACTGCTTACTCCATATCTTTATCTCATACTGCCCAGCCAAACAGCTCCAAACCCCCCAGTTCTTCTAAGAATCTCTCTTTATCTGTCTCTCCAATATGAAACTCATCCTCTCTTTGCATGAAAAATAAATAAAAAAACCTTGTTTTGTTAGGCTTGTATATGACTCACACATCTTCCCTACAGCAAGACTGCTCTCATTGTGGCCTTCTACTTCTCACAATAAAATCTTAGAAGGCATAGAATGCGTCCATTTAAATTTGTTTGTAAGACTCTTGATAACATCTAAACAGGTATTTTTCAAGTCTAGACTGTTTTCTATTTTCACTCCAGGGTAGGCTCTTGAATTCCCCGCTATAGGCTCATTCCTGCCTGTAGGCTCATTCCTGCCTATATCGTGGGACTCAGCACTTAGTCACGCAGACACCTGCCTGATGTTAATGGGGCATTCCACTTCTTATGGTTGGGCCCCTGTCTCATTTCCAAGCCCCAATTTTTCCTCTATGTGCTTCAATCCTGGTGAGTGGATTGCTCTTCGTCTTTAAAATCCACTTGTTTGAAGTGTTCTAAGACACATTTCTGGCATTCTGCCTTGATCCTTGTCCATCTAATTATGGTTTCTGTCCAGTGTCTCAGTGTCCTCCTAGACTGAGACCCTGCCTTATTTCTTGTCAGGTCACCTCCTAGGGATTAGAGCTCATTCCTAAACATCAGCCTGGTTGTTGTGGACCTGGCACAGGCCCTCCTTCATGTTGAATGCCGTCTCCCACCCGTTGCTTCCTATACTCCAACTACTTGCTGGGAACCCTATTATTCTGTTGAGAATATCTCTTCCTCTGAATTGAAATTAAAAAAATACTGTGCCTCTGGAAACCTGCACATAGCTCTGGAAAGGAGGAAGAGGAAAGGTAGAAATGGAGGTGGACAGGAAGAGAAGCTTATTGCATACCTTCCATGTTCCTGGGATGGTGCTAAGCTCTGTTACACACTATTAATGAACTCTTTTATTACTATAAGATTCTGGGAAATGCTGATATTTCCATCTCATAGCAAAAGGATCCCCAAATGAGCAACTTGACCCGGCTGTTAGTACATAAGAAGCTGAACCAGAAGTCAAACATGGGCCTTTTGCTTCTAAATCTCTGTGGTCTTCTCAGCAGACCAGGCTGAAACTTGCCCAGTTTGACCAATTTTGGTTTTACAATTTGTGTTTTCCTTCTTCTCTCTTTTAAGTTACTTGATGTTTGCTATTAAAAAGAATGAAAACAATTTAGAAAATATTATTATATAGTGACAAAATTGAAAGTTGGCTTCATTATTTTATAGTCACAACTCATAATGAAAGTTTTAAATGATGATGATGAAACAAACATTTATACATAAAAATTTCCATAGTGAAACGATAGGGAAAACAGAACATCAGTTAACTAATAAGAGTAGACAGAGAGAGACATTTTTTGGAGTTGCTCGGCATAAGTACTCAAGAGACTATATTAATTATGGCATGGGTTTCTAAATTATTTCCTTTGGACCATTAAGAAAGATATAAATCATTATACATGATTAATGGAATCCCATAAGATTCTCAAAGGAGAGTAACAACTCTTTGTTGACTGACATTTATTTTAAATAAAAGGAAGTGTCAGTAATTGCAAGCCCCAAATTAAAATAACATCAGTGGCATTCATAAACATCAATTCTATCCTTCATCTTCACTGCCAGTGCTTATTTATTCATTCACTTATAAAGATTTTGGAGAAACTAACTGTAGGGTTTCTAAAGGAGAAATTCTGGGAAGGCTCATGAAATCGCCTCCAGCGAAGACAAAGCCCTTTTGACTGCTGCGGATTAAAACATGAGATAGACACTCTTGCTTTTTTATCCTTGGTGTCCGACCTAGGCCTTTCTAGAGTGGAAGGAAGGTGAGATAGAGCCAAGGGCTTTATCACGTCATGTCACAATCACTGATAATTCCTCTACTTTTTAATCAGAATGCTAGTTAATTGAGTGGGAGAAAAAAAATCAATGGAAAAATATCTTTGGTATACCTTGTGGGGAGGCATTGTTTAGATGAAAAGAATTACATGGTAGTGTAAAATTTTTGTTTAATGGTTTGTTTTTATATGAAACAGATACACCTGGGACTATACAGGAATTCTAAGAACTCCCAAAAGGTAGATATTACATATGTGATGATCCTATGTTCTGTACATTCTACCACATAGTAGAGTAGGCACTTAAATATGTTTTGGATTAATGAAAACCATATGAGTCAGAGGACATTCTTACCAACTTTATTAGCTTTGTAATTATGGTATATGTTTATGCCAGTTTGGCTCTGAGATAGCCTTAGAATCTAACCTGAATCCAAACTGACCTCAAGGGTTGGGTGTGCTCTCATCTCTTTCAGATCATTTGGGCAAAGGGTTGGTTATTCCTTTTGGAATAACTGCTATCTGCTCCCAATGCCAGCTGCAAACTTGAACCAGGAGGGTGGAAATGAAATCATGGAGAAAAAATTGGGAGTGCTTTGGCACAAGGACTTTCTGGTGAATGTTAGAATTTCTCTGCAGGGGCAGGATAGGGAAAATTTAGCAATGGTGCACTTAGGGACAATGCAAAAACAAGTTCTTTTCTTCCTAGGCAAAAATAAAAGAGGTAATTTATATAAAAGAAACTAGCAAAGAGCCTGGCACATGGTGCAGGCACTTAATAAATATTAGTTCCTTTCCTTTCCCTTCGTGACAAAGACAAAGTATGCTTAGAAAACCTTTTATGGTAGCATCTTGGATGTGTGTGTACTTGTGTGTGTGTGGTGTGGTGTGTTTGGAGCAGGATTCTAGGCAAGAAAAGAATGAGACAATTTTATTCTCAAAATATGCATCTGTGACAGAATACTGCATTGAATTTCAATTGCTTTTTTCTCTGATATCTCTTGCACAGTCCCTTCTAATCTCATCTTGGTGATTAGCTAGGGCTAACCCCACATACTCCTCATTGCAAAAATTCAAAAGGGAAGATATGATTTAGTGCTCAGCCTTTGAATGTCGAAGTAGACACTTGAAGCCTCTGGCAGAGGTAATAGCTTCAGAAAAAAAAATGGTGAGAGAATGTTACTGCAAGAGCCTGTGTCTTCTGGACATCGAGAGCAGGTGGGCATTGAAGAATTGGTGATGAGTGAAAACAAGTAAATTAAGAGTCCCCAACTGGATGCTTACTTTGGCAGCACATATACTAAAATTGAAAGGATTCCTCAACTGGAAGAGTGAGGAGCAGATTAGACATAAATCAAGAGCAAGAGATGCTGATGGGCGTCTCTAACCAAAAGACAGCTTCAAGAGCTGAGGGGAGAGGGATGATGGATGATGAGGGCCTCCTGTAAGTTGTGGAGTCTGAAAACAGACTCTGCTAAGTGGGATGTGACCTGAGTTCTGTGTCACCAAGGCACGAAAGCAATGAGAACACCCAAATTCTCCCATACTCTGAGGAAGGCATAAGTGCTAGTGAGCATGAAGAGCTGGTGGGCCAGAAGGGGGCCCACAGCTGGGATGAGGATGTGGTAGGAAATCATACCCCAGGTGGGTGCCTGTGTAGGGAGAGGGCCATGCCGATGGGCCATATAGGATTTTCCTTCCTCAATAGTTGCTTCCCAAGGTAGATGACCATCATTGAGTCATGAGCCTATTCCTCTCCCAACATTCACATGAAACAATCTATGATGCGACATTTTGCAGTGTGTCAAATTAACTTCAAGGAAAAGAGGGGTAAGGAGGGAAAGCCTTACCTACAGAGCTTGCCACCAGGTGGACCCTACCATAATATCAGAACTTCATTTAGTTATAAAAATAAAAAAAAAGAAAAATGTTTTTTAGACATCTGGGCCTCTACATCGTTTTAAAAAGTACACAAATAGGTGCATGCATAAAGGCTGAATATACAATAAGTATGGTCTGGGTAGTAGGACTGACTCTGATCTGAGTGGCCTGGGTAATGCATTTGCATACAGAGGAGAAAATCAGTCTATTTTCTTCTTCAGTGCCTAATGATGTAAGATGGTAGGGAATGGGGGCACTGGGATACTTTGGGGGGGCTCCTGCCCTATCTGAAGACAAAAACTGTTTTTGTACAGTTAAAAAAATACTCTGTATAGGTCAAATTACACATGTCTGTAATTTGACCTATACAGAGTATTTTTTTAACTGTATCCCAGGCCAAAAACAGTCTAACTTGTATACAGATTTTATAGTACTCGTGGGTTCTCTTATTTAACAAATATATCACTCTACTCTTATTTTTTTTATTTTTATTTTTTTAGACAGAGTCTCGCTCTGTGACCCAGGCTGGAGTGCTCACTGCAAGCTCCGCCTCCCAGGTTCATGCCATTCTCCAGCCTCAGTCTTCTGAGTAGCTGGGACTATAGGTGCCCACCACCATGCCTGGCTAATTTTTTGTATTTTTAATAGAGATGGGGTTTCACCGTGTTAGCCAGGATGGTCTTGATCTCTTGACCGTGTGATCTGCCCGCCTCGGCCTCCTAAAGTGCTGGGATTATGGGCATAAGCCACTGTGCCCAGCCACTCTACTGTAATTTTAAAAAATGCACTGCATTCAAGAAAAATGCCCAGTCTCTATTAAGGTTCCACAATTTCTTTATTCACACATTGAAAAGAGGTCCTCTAGATTTTTTTTTTCTCCTTCATTTCCTACATTCAATCAGTCACAAGCCTGACAGTTTCTGTCTGTTGATTGTCTGTTTCTGTCTGTTCTGTCTATTGATTGCCTTTAGAGTTAGATCTTTCTCCCATGAATTACGCTTTAGTCAAAACCAAGGACTTTTTCTCTTGCCCACTAACTAGCTGCTCTTACTCTAGTCTTCCTCTTTGGCCTCCAATCCAGCCTCTTCTTCACTGATTCTATTGCCCCTTTATTTAAAAATTTTAATGATTTTCCTCTGCCTACAGAATTAAATGGCCAAAGAAGGGCAGATGCCAACACCCCTTGACCACTCCTACCCTGGCCCCAGTTGTAGGTACAACATGGAATTCTGTTTGAATAAATGAATGAATAAATAAACATTGAGAACTTTGGTCATAGATCCTAATTAACCCTCAGATATAGCTCAGACTGGATTTTTTAGACCTGAGAAAAATTGTTTTTATTTATTCATATAATTCTCAATTCATACTTGTTGATTTGTTTATTTATCTACTCTATGTGCCAGTAACTATGCTAGTTACAGGTTGGCAAAATGAATAGAGCACATTCTCTGCCTTAGATGATCTCAAAATAGAGTAGGAGACACACATAAAACAATGATTAAAACACAATGTGATAAGTGCTAAAATGAATAGTAGTGTAACATTTATTGAGGACATGTGTGACGGACAATTTGCTAATCACTTTTTCCATGCATTATACAATTTTAATTTCAAAAAAATTTATGAAGTAGATTCCATTTTTATTTTACAAATGAAGAAAATAAAGATTTTAGAGTTAAATTACTTTGCTCAAGGTCACACAACTAGTAAATGGTAGAGCTTGGATTTACATTGAAGTCCATGTTCTGAATGCCTAAGTGTTACAATGAAGCAGGCACAAAGTGCTGTAGGAACACCAAGTGCAGGACCCTAGAAAAGTCTAGTGTGATCATGAAAAACGTACAGAGATGGAGATGCCGTGAACGTAGATGGGGAAATTTTATGAAAGGATTATTCTAGGATTACTCCATCTACCCCCAATGGCTTCATCATTTATTTATTTCTCCCTCTCCCTTGCCCACCATGTGTAAATATTTCTGCAGTCTCTATGTTCTGTTTCTAGCTCTTCCATTCCCATTGCTACCTTGTATTATAGGCCAGTTACTTCTTTAAAAAGATTTCCAGTAGCTTCCCTGCTCTTCTAACATTGGCAGGGGTGGGTGGTGGTAGGGAGGTGGGGAGAGTTGGAGTTCTGATATTCAAACGCTCAGCTTCCTAGTCTGTTCAATGGTATCTTGAAAGTACGAGTTTGCAACCACTTAAGCCCAAAGCGATGAAAGACATGTCTTGTCTCAGATCGCCTGGACATGGAAAAATCTTTCAAATCCATTTCAAATCATACTACAAATTTGACTTAATGCAAAGAAAAATGACTTTACATTATAGCATAACTCTTTCAACAGTAATTATTGATCTATCAATCTATCAAAATCAAAATATTTTTTTAAAATGAAGCAATAAAAGACAAAAGATTGCAAATAAATGTGGCTAGAGTAGCCCAAACAGTTGTAGTTAAACACTCTTTTATTTCTTTTTTTTTGAAGTTGCTGAACTATTTTATTTCTGACATCCTTTTGAAAATTATGATGATGAAAAGCTACAGTGAAAAAAATTGTACTTGGAATTGCTTTAGCTTTTTTATTACTTTTTATTTTTTAACTTTTATTTTAGGTTCAGGGGTACATGTGCTGGTTTGTTATATAGGCAAACTCATGTCATGGGGGTTTGTTGTACAGATTATTTAGTAACACAGGTATTAAACCTAGTACCCAATAGTTATTTTTTATGATCCTCTCCCTCCTCCCACCCTTTACCCTCAAGTAGTCCTCCAGTGTCTGTTGCTTTCCTCTTTGTGTCCATGAGTTCTCATCATTTAGTTCCCACTTATGAGAACATGCGATACTTTGTTTTCTGTTCCTGCATTAGTTTGCTAAGGATAATGGCCTCCATCGATGTTCCTGCAAAAGGCATGGTCTTGTTATTTTTTATGGCTGTGTAGTATTCCTTGGAATATATATACCACCTTTTCTTTACCCAATCTGCCAATGATGGGCATTTAGGTTGATTGCTTGTCTTCACTACTGTGAATAGTGCTTCAATAAACATTCACATGCATGTGTTTTTATGGTAGAATGATTCATATTCCTCTGGGTATATACCCAGTAATGGGATTGCTGGGTTGAATGGTAGTTCTGTTTTTAGCTCTTTGAGGAATTGCCATGTTGCTTTCCACAATCATTGAACTAATTTACACTCCCACCAACAGTGTGTAAGTGTTCCCTTTTATCCACAACCCCATCAGCATCTGTTATTTTTTGTCTTTTTAATAATAGCCATTCTGACTGGAAACACACTTTTATTTCTGTTGATTTGAATTCTTACTTCATTTCTGAAAGATCTAGAGTTTCCTTCCCCCTTTCCTTTTCCTGCCATCTTCCACTTTGTTCTTCCTCCTCCTCATGCTGTTTCTAATCTTTGCCTACCCAGAAGCAAAAAGAGTAAGAGAAGAGTTTTTACAATCTCAGAGGCTATATTCTGACTAGCATATTTCAGGTATCTCTGTTTACCAGTTTTCATAAATGCAAAACAGGCCTGAGTACTGTCAAGTTCCTCTATTTCTTCCTATATGTCTTCTCATATTTGACCTGAAAATATATTATTCATCCTTCGTATTAGAAACAGAACTTTACATACGATTTTCCAGCTCGTTTTTATTATTAGGTTGGAACTGCTGATGTTTTGGGCACGAAGCCCAGTTAGGTGGAGTCTCAGAGGATAGAGGGTCCTGTGGGAGATCTCAGGGCACATAAGGGTATTTTACTCGATAATCGCCTTCCCCTGACTACAAACTAAGATGAAGAAAAGCCACAATAGGGGATTAACGTCTTTCAAAGGCCACAGGATTTCATCAAGTTAAATATTTATTGTTTTCTTTCCTGTGCATTGATTTTTTCATTTTCATGTGAGTACAGATTTCTTTCTTGCCCTTTATTTAACTCTTTGAGAAAAATGAAATCACTCCCAACTTGACAATTTTTTCTTCAAAGGTGATACATTCTCGTGGGAATAGTGCTGGAGTAAGAGAGGAATGAGGGTTCTACATTCAATGCCACAACGTAAGAGATTTTAGGGGCAGATTTCTCTGTGTTGTAGTGCTCTGGCTGCCATAACAAAATACCATAGACTGAGTGGCTTCACTAACAGAGATTTATTTTCTTGCAGTTCTGGAGGCTGGGAGTCTGAGGTCAGGGTATCATTGTGATTGGGCTCTGGTGAGGGCCCTTTTCCTGGCTTTGTAGACAGTTGCCTTCTCACTGTGTGATCCCTTGTGGGACAGAGACACAGGGAGAGCTCTCTCCTTTGCTTTTGTTATAAAGCCATCAATCCTATCAGATTAAGATCCTATTCTTACGGCCTTTTAAAACCTTAAATTACCTCCTGAAAGCCCTATCTCCGAATACAGTCACATTGCGGGTTAGGGCTTCAACATACAAATTTTAGGTGTACACAGTTCAGTCCGTAGCACCCTGTATCTTAGTTTCTTAATCTACAATTTGCTTAATAATAACTTATCTAGCTCAAAAGGTAATGATAACATGAGATAATCACTGCATATGAAAGTAATTTGCAAATTGTAAAATCCTATGCAAATGGAAGATATTTATCATAAAATTATTATTGAAGGAATATACAATAAATAGAGAGACCAATGTATTTATGACTTCTGAGCTATATATGGATATCCAAAAAAATTCCTTGAGTATCTCACATCAGTCTAGGCAAATAAGGACAGCAATTACTATTAGAATGTCCTAAATAGACTATGTAAATGAATGTGTAATCCTTTTGATAATAAAATATTTGTTTTTGTCTAAGTAATTAGCTTCAGAATACTTAATAATTACATCTTGCACCCCTTCTAAATTACATTCCACATGTCAATGCCAAACTGCTATAAAAATAACATTTAAATATCACAAATAAATATCACTAATAAGGTCTCCGCACATCTCAATCCCTTCCAGAGCAGACTTCCACTTGCATTCCATCTAATTCATGTAAATAATACCAAAAAATGAAAAGCTTTGCCACTTTAATTTTCTTAATTATTGTTATTATTCTTGTGTACTCACAATATAACCAGTGCTGCATAAAATAAGAAAAAATATTATACTGGCATAAGACTTACAATTCAGTCAGATGATCAAACAATTCAAATACAAGAACACAGATGTGAAAAATTGTTAGACTTTCTTGCTTTGCGTCTTTGGGATGTCAGCTGTTTTTAGAGCTGTTTCACCAGTGTCTTCAGCAACTATTACTCGTATTATCCAGAACCTGTGCTGCTTTAGAAAAGCTGTACTCAGATTGACTTACTTCCTGTTTCTATGTTAGGCAGTATGGTAATTAGGGAAAGATATATTCAGAGGGAGGGTCTCCCTCTTGACTGAAACCCAAGGAAAGCAGGCATTGGGCATTTTGAGCTTTTATTCTTTAGAGATAACTGGCCACATTTATAACGATAATGATAATAATAATAACACACAGTCAAATCCAACAGTTCTTAAGCGGAAGTTCATGAATGGCTTCATGGGATCTCAAAAGTCCATGCAATTCTGTAGCTTTGAATGGACTCTCAAAAGGTCTATGACCTAAAAAGTTTTAAAGCCTCAACAACAAATCTGTTAAGTTAGTGTGTGCTGCTTTCCCATAGAGCTTTCTCTAATGTTATATATTATTAATAGGAATATTTTTTAATGAAAACTACAGCATACTCTCATTATGTGTAAGGCACTATGCTTAATGCCATGGAAAATGCAAATATGAACAAGTATATGGCTCTTACTCTCAAAAGCCAAATGATCTTGCAGCAGAGTTAAGGAATTCATACAAACAATAGCAAAACAAGGCAGATTGTGATAAACACCATAGGGCAGGCATGAAGAAATTCTTAAGGAAGCTGTCAAGGAGATTAAATGTCCATGGAGAAGGCAGTATTTGAATTTGACTTTAAAAAATAAATGAGATTTCACCTGCTGTAGTTTGGAAATAGCATAGTAAATTTTCGGATATGTCGGGTTATAGAGTATTTTAAAATGCCATTTAAGAAGGGAGAAAAGTAAATAAAAAATCTGTATCAATAGTCTAGATCAAAAAGGAATAGAGCCTAAAGTAGGACATTATTTCCTTAGGGATGGAAACCAGTGTAGAGATGCATGCTATATGTGGGTTTCAGCATTAGAATGTTAGAAAACTGTGAGGCAGGAAAAGAGATTAGGAAATACATGGAAAACATATGAGAGAATGTTGCATTGTTAGAGTAGTTTTTATAGAGGAATTGAACCTGATCTCTTAGGTATAAAATGAACAGCTTTTAAATGATAACCTACTGTATAATACCTACTGATATTCATTAACACTTTCATTATGGGTTTGATGGAGTTTCTCTTACTATTTAGATGACTTGGAAGCTTATGAAATCATTGAGGGAGAATATGTTAGAGAGGGAGCAGAAAAGGAGGATGTGTACTTGTGTGTCAGGAAGGAAGATTAGGGACAATAACAGGGGACAGAGAAGAGATGAGAGAGGGTGGAGTAGAACCAGAAGGGAATAATGTTATGGAAGCAGAGATGTAAGAAGGAAATAGTGGTCAGCAATGTGCACAGTTTTGAGAGAGGCTGAAATGCCTGTAGCCCAACAAGAGGCCATTGGATTTGTGAGTAGTACTTTGCTCCAGACCTCAAAGAAAGCAGTTTGCATAGAGAGGTAGGACAGAAGCCACACGTAAAGAAACTGAGGTTGAGGTACCCCAGATGAGCATATGGAGAGAGGAGTGTTGCCCATACACAGGAGGAATTTAATGGAGAAATAAAGGCAATTGCTCACTTGAATGAGAGGGTCAAAGGGAAGTATGCAGAGAAAGAGCAAGAGAACGAAATATTGAAGATATGTGTGTGTGAGAGAGAGGCAGAGGGAGAGACAGAGAAAGAGCAAGAGAGAGAGTAACAATGAAAAAGTTTAGCACACATTAATAATGGGAGACTTTAACACCCCACTGTCAACATTAGACAGATCAACGAGACAGAAAGTCAACAAGGATAACCAGGAATTGAACTCAGCTCTGCACCAAGCGGACCTAATAGACATCTACAGAACTCTCCACCCCAAATCAACAGAATATACATTTTTTTCAGCACCACACCACACCTATTCCAAAATTGACCACATAGTTGGAAGTAAAGCTCTCCTCAGCAAATGTAAAAGAACAGAAATTATAACAAACTATCTCTCAGACCACAGTGCAATCAAACTAGAACTCAGGATTGAGAATCTCACTCAAAGCCGCTCAACTACATGGAAACTGAACAACCTGCTCCTGAATGACTACTGGGTACATAACGAAATGAAGGCAGAAATAAAGATGTTCTTTGAAACCAACGAGAACAAAGACACAACATACCAGAATCTCTGGGACACATTCAAAGCAGTGTGTAGAGGGAAATTTATAGCACTAAATGCCTACAAGAGAAAGCAGGAAAGATCCAAAATTGACACCCTAACATCACAATTAAAAGAACTAGAAAAGCAAGAGCAAACACATTCAAAAGCTAGCAGAAGGCAAGAAATAACTAAAATCAGAGCAAAACTGAAGGAAATAGAGACACAAAAAACCCTTCAAAAAATCAATGAATCCAGGAGCTGGTTTTTTGAAAGGATCAACAAAATTGATAGACCACTAGCAAGACTAATAAAGGAAAAAAGAGAGAAGAATCAAATAGACACAATAAAAAATAATAAAGGGGATATCACCACCGATCCCACAGAAATACAAACTACCATCAGAGAATACTACAAACACCTCTACGCAAATAAACTAGAAAATCTAGAAGAAATGGATACATTCCTCGACACATACATTCTCCCAAGACTAAACCAGGAAGAAGTTGAATCTCTGAATAGACCAATAACAGGCTCTGAAATTGTGGCAATAATCAATAGTTTGCCAACCAAAAAGAGTCCAGGACCAGATGGATTCACAGCCGAATTCTACCACAGGTACAAGGAGGAACTGGTACCATTCCTTCTGAAACTATTCCAATCAATAGAAAAAGAGGGAATCCTCCCTAACTCATTTTATGAGGCCAGCATCATTCTGATACCAAAGCCGGGCAGAGACACAACCAAAAAAGAGAATTTTAGACCAATATCCTTGATGAACATTGATGCAAAAATCCTCAACAAAATACTGGCAAACCGAATCCAGCAGCACATCAAAAAGCTTACCCACCATGATCAAGTGGGCTTCATCCCTGGGATGCAAGGCTGGTTCAATATACGCAAATCAATAAATGTAATCCAGCATATAAACAGAGCCAAAGACAAAAACCACATGATTATCTCAATAGATGCAGAAAAAGCCTTTGACAAAATTCAACAACCCTTCATGCTAAAAACTCTCAATAAATTAGGTATTGATGGGACGTATTTCAAAATAATAAGAGCTATCTATGACAAACCCACAGCCAATATCATACTGAGTGGGCAAAAACTGGAAGCATTCCCTTTGAAAACTGGTACAAGACAGGGATGCCCTCTCTCACCGCTCCTATTCAACATAGTGTTGGAAGTTCTGGCCAGGGCAATCAGGCAGGAGAAGGAAATAAAGGGTATTCAATTAGGGAAAGAGGAAGTCAAGTTGTCCCTGTTTGCAGACGACATGATTGTTTATCTAGAAAACCCCATCATCTCAGCCCAAAATCTCCTTAAGCTGATAAGCAACTTCAGCAAAGTCTCAGGATACAAAATCAATGTACCAAAATCACAAGCATTCTTATACACCAATAACAGACAAACAGAGAGCCAAATCATGAGTGAACTCCCATTCACAATTGCTTCAAAGAGAATAAAATACCTAGGAATCCAACTTACAAGGGATGTGAAGGACCTCTTCAAGGAGAACTACAAACCACTGCTCAAGGAAATAAAAGAGGACACAAACAAATGGAAGAACATTCCATGCTCATGGGTAGGAAGAATCAGTATCGTGAAAATGGCCATACTGCCCAAGGTAATTTACAGATTCAATGCCATCCCCATCAAGCTACCAATGCCTTTCTTCACAGAATTGGAAAAAACTATTTTAAAGTTCATATGGAACCAAAAAAGAGCCCGCATTGCCAAGTCAATCCTAAGCCAAAAGAACAAAGCTGGAGGCATCACACTACCTGACTTCAAACTATACTACAAGGCTACAGTAACCAAAACAGCATGGTACTGGTACCAAAACAGAGATATAGATCAATGGAACAGAACAGAGCCCTCAGAAATAACGCCGCATATCTACAACTATCTGATCTTTGACAAACCTTTGCTTGAGAAAAACAAGCAATGGGGAAAGGATTCCCTATTTAATAAATGGTGCTGAGAAAACTGGCTAGCCATATGTAGAAAGCTGAAACTGGATCCCTTCCTTACACCTTATACAAAAATCAATTCAAGATGGATTAAAGATTTAAACGTTAGACCTAAAACCATAAAAACCCTAGAAGAAAACCTAGGCATTACCATTCAGGACAGAGGCGTGGGCAAGGACTTCATGTCCAAAACACCAAAAGCAATGGCAACCAAAGCCAAAATTGACAAGTGGGATCTAATTAAACTAAAGAGCTTCTGCACAGCAAAAGAAACTACCATCAGAGTGAACAGGCAACCTACAACATGGGAGAAAATTTTCGCAACCTACTCATCTGACAAAGGGCTAATATCCAGAATCTACAATGAACTCAAACAAATTTACAAGAAAAAAACAAACAACCCCATCAAAAAGTGGGCGAAGGACATGAACAGACACTTCTCAAAAGAAGACATTTATGCAGCCAAAAAACACATGAAAAAATGCTCATCATCACTGGCCATCAGAGAAATGCAAATCAAAACCACTATGAGATATCATCTCACACCAGTTAGAATGGCAATCATTAAAAAGTCAGGAAACAACAGGTGCTGGAGAGGATGTGGAGAAATAGGAACACTTTTACACTGTTGGTGGGACTGTAAACTAGTTCAACCATTGTGGAAGTCAGTGTGGAGATTCCTCAGGGATCTAGAACTAGAAATACCATTTGACCCAGCCATCCCATTACTGGGTATATACCCAAAGGACTATAAATCATGCTGCTATAAAGACACAGGCACACGTATGTTTATTGCGGCATTATTCACAATAGCAAAGACTTGGAACCAACCCAAATGTCCAACAATGATAGTCTGGATTAAGAAAATGTGGCACATATACACCATGGAATATATGCAGCCATAAAAAATGATGAGTTCATGTCCTTTGTAGGGACATGGATGAAATTGGAAACCATCATTCTCAGTAAACTATCGCAAGAACGAAAAACGAAACACTGCATATTCTCACTCATAGGTGGGAATTGAACAATGAGATCACATGGACACAGGAAGGGGAATATCACACTCGGGACTGTGGTGGGGTGGGGGGAGGGGGGAGGGATAGCATTGGGAGATATACCTAATGCTAGATGACACGTTAGTGGGTGCAGCGCACCAGCATGGCACATGTATACATATGTAACTAACCTGCACAATGTGCACATGTACCCTAAAACTTAAAGTATAATAAAAAAAAAAGAAGGAAAAAAATAAACCCCCCCCCAAAAAAAAAAAAAAAGAAAAAGCAGATTACAAAAAAGGTATATATACTAGGCCCCCATTGCTGTGAAATATAGAAAAATAGCCAAGAGCCATATTCCACTATGCTAACAGTACTTATTCTGGGTGATAGGATCATGGGTATATTATTTTTCCCTGTTTACTTATCTATATTTTTAATTTTTTCTACAGTAAATATATATTATATAATTATTAGCTATTGATACTGCATAACAGACCAGCCCCAAATCTCAGTAGATTACAACACAAGGATTTATTCTCAAGCTCACAGTTCTGCAGATCAACTGCAATTTGACTGACTTAGGTTGGGCATGGAAGGGCTGCTCTGTCTCAGCCCCGCCCTGCTAAATCAGTCAAATTGCAGTTGGACTAGGTCTGGCTCCTCACTGCAGGTCAGGCTGTATGCCCCACGTGCCTTCATTCTGGGGCTCTGGCTGAAGGGGCAACAGTTATAAAAGCTTGCTTCGCTTCACCTTCCAGCTTGTCAGAGCCCAAGTGACAAGCCAAAATGCACAAGCATGTATAAAGCCTCTGTTTACCTCATTTCCTAACATTTTATTGGCTAAAGCAAGTCCTATGGCCAAGCCCAACACCAATGGGGCAGGGAAGTATATGCCACCCACAGTGGGAGTGGGAGGGGAGTGGGTATATTCTGAGTACTAACCCAGTTTATTGCTTATTACTTGTATAATAAAGCAAACATAATGTGAAAAAAAAAAAAGAAAAAGTTTAGCAAGGAGAGGGAGAGTAGGAAAAGAAAAAGAAGTAGAGAAATTCTTAGAGATAAAGGTTAATAATATCATGATAAATTGTATTTATCTTCTTTGTAAAATTCCTTCTTTTGTAAAGAGAATGTCTAGTATTAGAAACTTAAAGGAGTAGAAAGAGTCAGAACAGCCACTAAATATTCCACAGTAAAAAGAGTAAAGAAATCCCCACACAGCAGAGAAGATTAGCTGGGCTACGAGAGCATGGGTTTGCAGTGTCCCCCCAATTCCCCAGTTTCTAGCTCTCTTTTGGCACCACTCAGCAGCCAGGAAGCCAAAGTGAAAACAGACGGAGGGAGTGACCCTGGGTGACAGATTAACATGGGAGATTTGGCCGAAGGTCAAGCAGAGTGAAGTCCATTGGGTCCAATCTGGGTAGTGAAGCCAGGGTATACATTAATTGTTTCATGTGAACGGGTCCTGTGTCCTGAGCTTGATTGCCAATCTGTGGAGATGGTGTAGCACAGAAGTTAAGAGCACAGGCTTTGAGGTTAGGATAAACCTGGTTGAGAATTGCAGTTCTGGGAGAGATTTGTAAAAATTGGTCCTACAAAGGACCAATTATAAAATGCAGGTATCCTTTCCCTGGGAGGTTGGGTTAAGGTTACTCGTGATTAAGAACTAATGATTAAAATGTATTTGCCTCTTGTCTGCTGCCAAGAACAAATTAGTATGAAAACACTTAAAATAAATACAATGGTAATTAGACCCCCATTAAAATATACACCTGAAAAGTGTATGTTATAAAATTAAGGTAGCATAGAAATGGATTCCTTTGTTTAAAATATACAATTTTTACTGCTGAAAGTATAAATATTGTACATATTTATTTATCTAAAAATAATGAAACATTCAACTTCAACTCATAGAAATAAAAAATTCTTCATGTGGTTTGAACAGTGTTATAGCAGACCTGCTGTGTTTTGAGAATATTCAGCACCTAACATACTAAGGGGAAAAATGCAACCTCCTTTCAAATCCATGCTGCAGTCTGAATGACTCTGATACATATTTTTGATTGGAAAATATATGGTTTCTTTTTGCTGGAGGGACTCTTCTCATAATCTATATTTTGCTGTCTTTTTCTCTGCTAAAGGCAAAAATTATTAGGGAGCAAATTAAGGGTAAAAAGTTAATGTCTAGTTTATTGAGGCAATGATTTATTTCTTCCAGGAGTATAATTTACATCAAAGGCCACTAACCTCAACATTAAATATTAAAGAAGTAAAAAAGGCAATTAAAAACAAAAACAAATCCTCTCACCCCCCAAACTCTATAGTGCAACCTGTAATAAATCTGAAGGAGAAGGAAGAGCCCATCAATAACTTATTTCAGAAAGGATAAAATAATTAATTTTTTCTTACCTTTAAGAATTTGTTTTTAACCTTTTTTAAAAAAATACCGTTATTGTGGCATATTCACATACAATAAAATGATGTTTGCTGTCATCATGTTATATAGATGTAGTATCATCATAGCATATAGTTTGATAAATTTTGACAAATAATATACCCATGTAATCACCGCCATAATCTAGATAAAGAATATTTATATTACACTAAAACATTTCTAGTCTATTTGCAGTGAATTTCCCAGCCGCCTCTTGCCCAAAGCAACCTCTATTCTCATTTGTGACAGTCTAAATTGGTTTTGCCTGCTCCAGAATTTCATATAAATGGAATCATACAGAATATACTCTCTTTTTTCTGGCTTCTCTCACTAAGTGTAATGTTATTGTGTTTATCAGTAATTAATTCCTAGCTCATTGCTGAGTAGTATTCCATTGCATGGTTATATCAAATTTGTTTATCTGTTCACTTGTTTAGTGGACATATGAATTTTTCCAGTTTGGGGCTATAATGAATAAAGTCACAATGAACATTTGAGTCTAAGTCTTTGGTGAACATATGTTTTCTTTTTTCCTGGGTAAATCCTGAGAATGGACTTGCCAGGATGTATAGTAAATGTACATTTAGTTTTATAAGAAAGGATCGGCCGGGCGTGGTGGCTCACGCCTGTAATCCCAGCACTTTGGGAGGCTGAGGCAGGTGAATCACGAGGTCAGGAGATCGAGACCATCCTGGCTAACACGGTGAAACCCTGTCTCTACTATAAACACAAAAAATTAGCCAGGCGTGGTGGCGGGCGCCTGTAGTCCCAGCTACTCAGGAGGCTGAGGCAGGAGAATGGCGTGAACCCGGGAAGCGGAGCTTGCAGTGAGCCGAGATCGCGCCACCGCACTCCAGCCTGGGTGACAGAGTGAGAATCCATCTCAAAAAATTAAAAAAAAAAAAAAAAAAGAAAGGATCACACAGTTCTCCAGAGTAATTGTACCATTGTCAGATTCCAGCCAGGAATGTATGAAAGTTCCAGTTGCTCTGTTTTTGCTAAAATCACTAATGATGGTTTGTTTGTCACGTTTTGTATTTTTTTTTTTTTTTTTGCTTCAAGTTTAGTTCTTGGAATCTTATCTGTAGGAATTCTTTGAGACCTGCTTTGAGGAAGGGGCTCTCCAGAAAGGACTTTCTTCCTCTAGTTGTATTAGAATAAAGGTTAAATAACCCTGCATCAGAAGTTTCTTAGACGCTTCAGTTTGTGTTCTGAGGCTTAGCTGTTTATAATTTCCTGAACTTACAAGCTCTTATAGGAATTATTCTCCATGTACTGATGCCCCATCCCATTCCCACTCCCAGTTGCTTGAAGTAATGACTGAGTCTTTATTTCTTACATCTAAGAGAACCTAAGAAAATCTTCATGTGGATACAGTGGATACTATGCCAGATTAGATATCTGGGGGTTCTTCCTCAGTTTGTTATGCAACACTGGGGTCTCCAGACCCACCTTCAATTAGAAGCAACAAGTTCACCTTCCAGTGTCCTCAGAGGATGTTGTGGGACTAGTTTTTTCCAGCCCAACGAACCCTTGCAGGTGACTCACAGCTTAGTGCTGTGCTCCAGGTGGCCGATTCAGGAGCCAGGTGGCCGACTCAGGAGCCAATCAGATGGTAACTCAGAGAAATAGGGGAAAAGGATGTGGGAGTCCCATACTGTACTTCACATGCAGAATTAATTATGAAAATCCATCAATATCCAAACTGCAATACCAATTTCTGGATTCTGGTTATGTGAAATGTGGGGATGATTCTTTCTCTATTAAGCGAATTTAGTACTGTACTGTACACGTTTCCTGCTTTTAGTGCTTGCCAAGAATGGCATTTGAGCACCTAGTGATCTTTTTAACCACTGATTTTTGGCTGTGTCTCAGGTTCACAAGGTGAAAATAGCTACACCATTTTCCAATGTACAGTGCCTATTTATTTACCTAGTAATATAGTGCCCCTTTGGGGTAGTTGGCTTATTGATTAGTTACTGCCTTAGACAACTGTAAAATGATTACCACCACCAAGCTAACATATTCATCACCTCACATAGTTATTTTTTTGTAGTAAGAACATTTAAAATTTACTTCTAGAGCAATTTTCGAGTGTACAATACATTACTATTAACCATACGATTACTATTAACCATTCCATGCCATACAATAGATCCCCAGAATTTATTCATCCTGTCTAACTGAAACTTTGTACTCTTTGATCGATATCTGTCCATCTGCTACCTGCTTCAGTCCCTGGTGACTACCATTCTACTCTTGCTCCTGCGAGTTCAAAAATTTTACACTCTACATATAAGTGAGATCATACAGTATTTGTCTTTCTGCGCCCAGATTATTTCACTTAGCATAATATCCTCCAGCTTCATCCATGTTGTAAGTGACAAGATTGCCTTCTTCTTTAAGAAAAAACAGTATTTCACTTTGTGTGTGTCTGTGAGTATGTACACACACAAACACACACACACATCTCATACCAGATTTTAAAAAATCCATTCATTTATTGATGGACATTTGGATTGATTCCATATCTTGCACACTTAGATTGATTCCAGTGCTGCAATAAACACAGGAATGCAGGTATTTCTTTGACACACTGATTTCCTTGTTTTTGAATATATACCCAGTAGTGGGATTGCTGGATTATATGGTAGCTCTATTTATAATTTTTTTGAGGGAACTCCGTATTATTTTCTATAATGGCTCTACTAACTTCATCATCAGTGAAGAAGAGTTCCCTTTTCTCCACATCCTCACCAACACTTGTTATATCTTTGTGTGTGTGTGTGTGATAGCCATTCTAACACATGTGAGATGATATCTCACCATAGTTTTTATTTGAATTTTTCTGATAATTAGTAATGTTGGGCATTTCTTCATACACCTGTTGGCCATTTGTATGTTTTATTTGGGGAAATGTCTATTCAGGTCCTTTGCCCACTTTAAAATTTGTTTTCCTACTATTAATTTGCAGGAGTTCTTTACATATTTTGGATATTAACCCCCTACCAGATGTATGGTTTGCAAATATTTTCTCCCATTCTATAGGTTGTCTTTTTACTCTTGATTGTTTTCTTTACAGAAGATTTTTAGTTTAATGCAATCCCATTTTTCTATTTTTGCTTTTGTTACTTGTGCCTTTGGAGTCATAGCCAAAAAATCACTGCCCAGGCCAATGCTATAGAGACTTTCCCCTCTGTTTTCTTCTAGTAGTTTTACAGGTCCAGGCCTAACATTTAAGTCTTTAATTCATTTTGGGTCAATATTTATATATGGTGTGAGATAAGAGTCCAATTTTGTTCTTCTGCATGTGGATGTGCAGTTTTTCCAAGATCATTTATTAAAGACTATCTTTTCCCCATTGTGTGTTCTTGACACCTTTGTCAAATATCAATTTAATGTAGATATGTAGGTTTATTCCTGGGCTTTCTATTCTGTTCTATTGGTCTATCAGCTTTTATGGCAGTGCCATACTGTTTGATTACTGTAACTTTATAATATAATTTATAATAAGGTAGTGTGATTTCTCCAGCTTTTTTCTTTTCCCTTGAGGTTGATTTGACTATTCAGGGTCTTTTGTGGTTCTGTATAAATTTTAGGATTATGCTTTCTATTTCTATGAAAAATGTCATTTGTATTTTGATAAGGATTGCATTGAATCTGTAGATTGCTTTGGGTAGTATAGATATTTCTACAATATTAATTTCTTTAATTCATAAACATGGAATATCATTCCATTTATTTGTGTCATTTTCAATTTCTTTCATGAATCTTTTATAGCTATCAGTGTATAGCTCTTTTACCTCCTTGGTTAAATATATTTTCACGTATTTTATCTTTTTGGATGTTATTGTAAATGTGATTGTTTTCTTGATGTTTTTGGATAGTTCATTGTTAGCAGATAGGACTACAACTGTTTTTTGTATGCTGATTTTTTATCTTGTGACTTTAGTAAATTTGTTTTTTAGTTCTAACAATTGTTTGGTGTAGGCTTTAGAGTTTTCTATATATAAGGCTTTGTCATCTGCAAACAGATAAAATTTTCTTCTCTTTTTCTGATTTGGATATCTTTTATTTTTTATTTTTCTTGCTCAATTGCCCTGGTTAGGACTTTCAGTACTATAGTAACTAAAAGTGGTGAGAGTGGACATCCATGTCTTGTTCATAACATAAAAGAAAAAGCTTTCAGCTTTTCACCATTGAGTACAATATTAGATGTGGGCTTGTCCTATATGGCCTTTATATGGCCTTTATAATGTTGAGATATGTTCCTTTTATACCTGATTTGTTGTAAGTTTTTTTAATCAGGAACAATTTTTATTGAAACAGATATAAATAGACCACTAAGAATCCCAAGATATTTAGGAAATATAAAAACATAAAAGATCTCTTCTTACCACCCACAAAAAGAAAAATAAAACCAGAAATGAATAACCCTAGAGGATTTAGAGCAAATTGTGAGAATAGGTGGAAACTTCAAACAAACAAATGATGGATCTAACAGAGGAGCTCAGTGAAAAGGCACTTGTGAAATAGGCTGAGTCCATATAGAACAGAAATATGGAGGGCACTGCAAGGTAGGTCATTGGAATAAAGGGTGTATGATGGAATAGATAATAGAGTGAGTTTGAGAAACCCTGGAAACTGATTAAGGCACAGAAGGCAAGAAGAAAAGGTAAGGGTGTTAGGAACTTCAATAAAAATCAACCAACCAACCAATCAACCAACCAACCAACCAATCAACCAACCAACCAACCAACCAACCAACCAACCAACCAACCAATCTATTAGGTTGGTGTAAAAGTAATTGTGGTTTTTGCCGTTACTGTTTTTTTTTTTTTGAGACAGAGTCTTGCTCTGTCGCCAAGGCTGGAGTGCGGTGGTATGATCTCAGCTCACTGTAACCTCTGCCTCCTGGGTTCCAAAAATTTTCCTGCCTCAGGCTTCCAAGTAGCCACCAAGCCCGGCTAATTTTTTTATTTTTAGTAGAGACGGGGTTTCACTATGTTGGCCAAGCTGGTCTCGAACTCCTGACCTTGTGATGTGATTCACCCACCTTGGCCTCCAAAGTGCTGGGATTACAGGTGTCAGCCACTGTGCCTGGCAGGTTTTTGCCATTACTTTTAACTGCAAACTAAAAGTAATGGCAATTACTTTTGCCCCAACCTAATATATAAGACAGATATGATTCATATCTGTAGCAAACTAAGTGTGAATTTAGCAATTGATGAGTATGAAGCAGAAGAATCTTTTTGAACTAAATCTCAGGATTATTCTCCAAGTGTCAAAGTGGCTATGGCATTAAGATCTGAGAGAAGGAAGAATACTTCCAGCATGCCCAGTGCTCCTAAAGATAACAATACTTACCTGATTACTATAATGCAAACACTGTTTACTGGTATTCAACTTTTGCAATAATCCCGTTAAAAAAACATAGATTTTACCATCATAACTACTTTTAGCTTGGACCACATACAAGTGAAACTAGAGTTGATAGATGTTAGGAGGTAAAAGAGAGTGGAAGGCGAGAGGAAGAGAGAATCACTAATATCTCCAGTTCCAAAATAGGGAGCCGAAAGAAATTGTCTGTTTGAGTAATAAATGGAGATTTAAGTCTGAGGTTGTAGAGGCAATCAGTGGGAGGAACTGAGAACAGCGATGCAACTGTATTGTGAGGGAAAGGGTAGAGGCGGTGGGAGGTGGTACAAGTGAGCTATCATTTATCTCTTACAGCAGGAAGTTACAAATAATTGGTAGAGATGATACAGCATGAAATAGTGGTTTAAGCATACTATGTAGGGCTTCATAGGTAACTACCAGAGACTCATTTAAAAGAAGCTCCCTCTAGGGAGCGGGAGCACAGATGGCGATGGGTGAACCAAATACATGATGTTTTTCCATTATAAGCTTGCGGTGATAAATAATTTATGTATGTATATATAAATTTTGTATCCGGAGGAAATTTCTGAACGATTTTTGCTTCCAACCTATAAAGAGGAGCACAAATACCTCTATCATTTGCTGGCATGGGGATAGGAATCTTTTCTGTGCAATGATGCAAACTCTACTAATTTAGTTTTAGGGGTGGCTGTAGAGAAAACCCTTGTTTATTAAAGTGGAGGGGAAAATTCCACCTCAGTTTCTTCAGGCTATCTTTTCAAAATTAAAACAAATTATGGTAACTACATATAGCATAGAATTAGCCATTTTAAACACTTTTATGTGTAAAATTCAGTGACATTAATTACATTTAAAATGTCGTGCAACCATCACCCCTATTTCCAAAAATTTTCATCATTCCAAATAGAAACTGTGAAGGTTAAATAATAACTCCCCATTTCTTGCTCCCTCCAGCTCCTTGTAACCTTCATTCTACAATCTGTCTTTGTGAATTTGCCTATTCTAGATATGTCATGTGAGTGGAGTCATACAGTATTTGACCTTTGGTGTCTGGCTTATTTCACTTGTCTTGAGGCTATCTTTTGACAGTTCTCTGAAGCCATCTTAGGCCAATAGCAAGATGTGACAGGCATGGAAAATATGAATGTAAAGTATTTTGTTCAATAGCAAATTTTGGTGCTACCAGAAAAAATATGTATTCTATCCTAAAGTGATAACGGCTATTGAATTTTCTAGAACCCAGGACTGGTGACTGTACCCAAGCTTTCTCTTCCTGGGTCAGTACAGCAGAGAAGCACATTTTGTTAGAGTGGAGAAGAAAGTTATATGAAATCTGATGTCTGTCAAAGATCACTGCTACAAGACTGCCAACACTGGAAAGGGTCAGGAACCATGCTTCAAAAGGCAGCCTGACACACAGTGTTGACTTCTTTCATCATTTGAGACAGATATGGTTGTTGGGTGAACAATTTAATAAGACAAATTGCCCAAATTTTACTTTACCACATAGGCATGACTGGCACATATGCCCCGAAAGGACATTTTGTTTTTGCCAGAGGAATTACTGTCCTTTATCTGCACCCTGATATTATTTTCTTTATGCATTGCATTTCTTTCTAGAATGTCATTCTCTGAGTATGTTTGTAGGGCAATGAATATGTGTGCAATGACGTGAGTTACAACATACCTAAGGAGATTAAACCATCTCTTATTATTTGTATTGATTTTCCATTACCAACTAAAATCTGTTTCAAGGGTATAACAATTGTAGTTAAATTCAACAAAGGACTGATAATGAGTGGATTATTTTTCATGCTTTCTTGAGTCCTGTCACTATTGACAGATACCCTAGAATGCAGATATGCAATGAAATGCTAAAATGTCAGCATTTCATTAAAAATAAACTTCTGGAGATAAAAGGGTGACTACTTAGTATACCCCAAAGCACAGAGAGCACCAGTATATTTGCAAGAATGTCCCCAGAGAGCTCAAGAGCAAAGCGTTTTCATGGATTGATTCACCTTTTCAACCTCTGCAAAGACGCAAAAAGGAGAATCTTAAATTTCTCAGAGGTGACCATTCCTATGAGGGAATTGTGGCTATAATGTAGCTTTCAAACTGAATTGGTAAGTGGGAGCTCTGATGTCACAAAGTAACAGACATGAAGGACATATGAAGTGTGTGTCTGTGTGTGAGTGCATGCATGTGTGTGTGTGTGTGTGTGTTGGGATAATGGAAGAAGAGTTGTTAAGAGAGTTGCTCTATTCTGAAAACTGGTGGAGCATACCCTACAATGACACCATACAGGAGTTATGCTGTTGGGCTGTTTTGAAGAGGACATTCATTAATGGAAATACCAGTAGGAAGCCAGGGATGAAGATGGTAACGGGCCTTAAAAAGCAAGAAAGGAGAAGTAAGCAATGGGGCTGTGAAAAAGAGGCTAAGTTTGTACCAGACATGTGGATTGTACTGGTCAGTTCAGTTCAAGGAAAGTAGAGACGGGAGGAATGAGGAGTAGGAGTGGGGCTGGAGGTGGAGAAAAGCCCTGCAAGATCAACACTCTCAAAACGGCTTGACAGTTGCAGGGGGTTAGGACAAAGGTTCTCAGTGGGCCACACAAAAATGCCTGAGGTAAGTGGAATTGGTCAGTTACTTACGTGTGTCTGAAGGTTAGCAAAACATGATTAGTTATGAAAGGGATCGATTTGGTGACAGCCTAAGATTGCTGACTTATAGCTCATTGGAGAATATGCATGAGGAAAGTTTGTGCTTGCCATGTGTTCATGCCCTCTCACAAAGCATGCTTCAGGACCATGTGTCTAGAACTGTTTTATTTGCTTTTCTGGTGACAGGTCAGAGAAAAGCAGAACAATATAACCTGACTGCCTATGTGTTGCTGGTCTCAGGGGACATTAGTGCCACCTCATGTAGCAGCTGTGACCAAGGGGACAGAAGTCCATTGGCCTTACAGGATCTGAAATAGAGGTTTTACGATGATTTGACTTTTCTTATCCTTTTCACCTTCATGGCTTGTAACCAAATGTAACTCCCTGCTTGCAGGCATCTGGTGTCTTGGTGGGTTTAGGGGGTTTAAGGGACTCAGGGGAATCAGAACAGTGTAATATTGCTGCCCGGGCTAGCCTGACCTACTCATGATCTAGGTAGTGTCAGCGGGCGTGGTGGTGGGCGCCTGTAGTCCCAGCTACTTGGGAGGCTGAAGCAGGAGAATGGTGTGAACCCACGAGGCGGAGCTTGCAGTGAGCTGAGATTGCGCCACTGTACTCCAGCCTGGGCGACAGAGCGAGACTCGTCTCCAAAAAAAAAAAAAAAAAGATCTAGGTAGTGTCTCAGGCCAAAAAACTTGGGGGCCATGCATGTGTCTCTTCCCTTCCTCTCATATCCCACAACCAACCTGTCAGGAAACTGTGTTGGCTCCATCCTCAGAATACATCCAGAATCCAGCCACATCTCAGCACTGTCATGGCAAGCCCACTGGCTCTAGTCACCTTCGCCTCCAGCCTGGGCTGCTCTCACAGCCTTCTGACCAGCCTGCCCCTGCTGCCCTCATGCCTGACTGCCTTGTCTCAACTTCTCTGTCCAAAGCCCTCCAAAGGCCTCCATCTCCCTCAGCATGAAGTCCATGTGATCCACAGGCCCCACACAATTTGACCCCACAACTCTCGGGCCTCCTTGACTCTTCACCTGTTCATTCCATCCACTCCAGCCACACTGGCCTTTTTGCAGGCAGGCCCGCTTTGCTCTTGCCTCTGTGCTCTTACTCCCTCTATCCTTCTTGTACCCACATGGCCATGCCACTCACTTCCTCACCTCTTCTGTGTCTTTGCTGACATGACACCTTCTCAGGCCTTCCCTGGCCATCCTATTTAACATATACCCTGTCCCCCATCATGTCCTCTCTCTCTTTTCCCTGCTTTCCTATTCTCCATTGCATGAATCACCATCTGCTGTACATTTTCTTATTTAATCTGTTGTCCATCTCCCCTGATAGGATGCAGACTCTTTGGGAGCAGGGATTTTTGGATGCTCCTAAAGAGTACTGCCTATAATAGTACCTGAAATATAGTAGGACTCTACATATTTGCTGAGTAGATGAATGAACGTACCTTATTTTCTACTCCTGAGACCAGGGCCTGGCTGTGTTCTAATAAGTGTGTTCCTGATCCAGATCCTGTGTCCGAGGTCCTTGTCTTCATAGCTTAACCTGCCCCCAGCCCTCAATGACTTGGGCTTGTTTTTCTCTGTTATCATTGCTCTTCCACCCCACCCAGCACTGAAGTCTGTTCTTGAGCTTCAGTCCTGTGAAATGGGGGCTACCACTTTCTACCAGTGCTCTCCGAGGCTGACTGCTGGTCTGCCTGCCAAAGCCACTCTATCTGGTCTGCTCTTAGGGTTTCTCTTGTCCTCCTCTGCTGACTGGCATGGTGCTCCTATTATTGCTTCCCACACTTCTTTGTGCTTAGGGAGAGGACGGCCTGTCCTCTGTTAACGTGCTTTCCAGGTATTTTTCTCCAGCACTGTGATTCCCTCATCATCTCCCCAGTTTGCAGCACACACATTGTCGTATTTTACATTCAGATTAAACTATTGACTCACCATCTCACCTATTGTGACAAGTTTCTCTTACCTCATCGGTATCTGGTCCCATGATAATGAAAAAGTTCTTAGTCAATCCAAAGATTCAGGTCAAGGAAAGAAAACCAGAAATTGGCTTAGCCAAGTAGGAAGTCTGATTGTCACTGCCACATGGTGTCACTATTGAAACACTGGCAACCTGGCATGCTGGTGCTGCCCTTGTCTGCTGGCAGTACAGAGGTAGTTTCCTGGAGCTGAGTAGGTGGTGTGCCACTGCTGATATCTAGAAATCTGGGATCCTGGGGAAGTCTCGTCCACTGAGCTAAGATGTCAGCTGCTGCTGACACCCCTGGAAGAAGAGCTGGAAGAGAAAGTCCTGCTCTCTGTGTCAGCCTCCGCTGCTGCCCCTGCACACCAGTGTGGGTTTGACTCCTGTCACTACCCAGCGGGGCCCTGCTCATGAGTTCATGCACATGCACATATGCACATCCAGACACATTTTCCAGCAGATGTGGATGTCTCACCTCAAACAAGTTAGTTCCTAAGTGGTTTCTGCACTGCCTGGAACCAGCCTCTTCCCTAAGCTCCAAGTTTGGATCCTGAGAGTCCAGGAAATCATTCTCTTTCCTTCGTCTAAAGTCTGCTTCATTTTATATCTCAGGACAAATGACATTTCTTTTAGAGAAAAATTCCATCTTCTTACACATACAGTTAGGTCCATGTTCCAGGTACTCACTTCACCCAGTTGGAGAGGTGCACTTTTTAGATTGCCCCAAACTTCCTGCTCTGACTCTTATATATTTAGCTCTTTTGTTCCTGCCTCAGCCACAGGATATGACAGAGCTTGACTTTGATGGAAAAGGAAACCCAAAGGGAGTACTGTAAATTTATGCCATGCTATAGGGGCAACAAAGAAAGAGCAAGAGAGCTGATAGTTCTCACCTATTTATTAACGCTACAAATAATCATGACAATAGTTACCATCCATTAAGCAATGAATGTGTCTGGCATTTTTAGGTGTATTATCTCATTCAACCCTTACAACAATCTTGAAAGACAGATATTATAAAAGGAATGTAGAGATGAGAAATCTGAAATGCAAAGAAATGAAGTAACTCAAAGCACAAAGCCATCTGCAACAGAGCCAGTATCTAAACTTAGGTCTTTCAGACTCTAAAGCTTGGAGTCTTGCCAATGTACTACACTTACTCCCTCGTGATTGAGTAATTATTGAGAGTCTTAGGTTCATGACTGTTGAGGGATACATACATTGTTGGTTGTTTCCAGCCTCCTTGACTGCTGCTGAAACCCTTTACCTACCATTCTAAATGGTTTCATCCTTTTGGTTTTGGGAGGGTGTGTTTCGTTAGTGTCTCCTTTCCATTTAGAGGCCTTATTTCAACTTACTCCTTTATTAGTGTGGAGTGAGATTGTTTTCTGATTCACTCTTTCATATTCCAGATGAAGGAAAAGAGGGAGAAGAAACCAGCTGCCTGGAAGACTGACCCTCTGAGATGCTCTGGAGCCGTGCAGTTGTTCTCACTGGCAGATCAGTCCTGTCCCTCCAATAAAAGAGAGGGTGATCTTGGTGTGAGATGTTCTCTTTTGAAGTGTGATCAAAGCTTTGAGCTCAGGGATTGCTTAGCAAGGTGGAATTCTTTCTTTCTCTTGAGAGTTTAAATGACCTCTGTAATTGATAGGCATCGTAGTCACAAAATGAAGTTTTGAAGTGGAGAAGATAAAAGGTCACTACCTTGGAAAATAGTGAGAATTTCTTTCCTTTGGTGTTGCCTTCATTTCACACTTGATAATTCTGTAAGGTTCTGATTGTCACCCTGCAGCAGTTTCCATATGACTCAGAAAAAGCCCCCAGGCTCTTGCTACCCAGCTTGAGATCATTAAAATGCTTGAGTGAACTTTGGAGTTCCTGTCTGTTGAATAGAGATGACACTGACCAGAGAGGGAAACTTACGTAGGAGGTGTGTCTGGGTCAGGCATCAAAATGCTGTGGAATTGTCTCAAAAGAGAAACACTAACATTTTGCAATGCTTTCATAGGGGCATATTCAAGAATTCCAAAGCTTCTTGAATTTGACATGTTTTTTCTTGATTTGCCTTAAGTATTTCCACATAAAAATTACTTGATGATATATTTGAGCTTTTGATATCTTACAGCACATCTCAGGAAGGTGGGAAAATACCCAAATTAGGAGAAATAAGCAAAGTTTCTTAACCTTTAAGCGAGAATTTGCAAAGAGTTTTGTTTTGTTTTATTTTCTGAAATGAAAGCAGGAAAAAAAAAATCAAATGATGGAGAGTCTGAAGTTCCTAATCCTGAAAGCCTCTACCCACATGACCCCTAAAGGCCTTCAGAGTTCTGATGTCGTGAAAATGACTCTAACAGCCTTCATACTTAACTATGTGATTCTTATTCCTCTTTCTGACTGAATCAATTCATTCATTTTGGCTTACCTCTTTTTGAGGATAATGGTGTGGAACTAAAACATTTTTCATTTACTAAATGGATTTTACTTGAAATATGTACTCCATTAATTTTCCCAATAATATATAGGTCATACTATTAATTACTGAATGTCGTGGGATGTCTTGCTTTGGTGATAAACTAGATACATAAGTGTTTATTATCATTTCTAAGTAGCTGTTCTTCAAACTCTTCAATAATTCCAATACTAACTTTCCTTCTTAATTATGCTAGAAGAGGTAGAGCAGAAAGCTATGGATTTATTATTAGGAATTAAAATTTAGAGTCTAGAGATTCTCAAATCCATTTTCTATAATAAACTAAAATTGATAGAACAAGGTAGTTCACTAATACAAATGAGGACTGTCAGCATTCCAATTTCTGGCTAAAATTCAAAGGACTAAAACATTTCAAAAAGGCAGTGGAGTTTATTCCAATGTAATAAAAATAAATCCTTTCTCTAAAGAATGAGAACATTAAACATCTGTGATGCTTGCTGGAATTCTGGATTTAAGTCTATAAGACTATGACAGGGATCATAAACTCAAATGTCTACAGGGCCAGGTCAGAAATATTCATCTTGGCTTGTGAGAATGGAGGTGAACCAGAGTTCTCATACCATCAGAAGGGGCAGCTGCAACTTGGCTTTTGCCGGTTGTTATCATTCGGAAATGTGAATCTGGCCTTGTTAAAGCTTTCACCTCTTTAAGAGAAGCCATAAATCCAGATTTGTATGAGAAAGTTCTTGTATCCTTGGCCTAGACTTTCACAGGACACGTTATTTTATCTTTGATATTATCTCTGCATCTCAAATAGCTATTACCAGGGAAACAATAGTGTCTAACATTGGCTACATGAGTCAATAATCTGAACTTCCTCCAAGGCAGCCAATAGAGAGGGAATTATTATTCAATTGATTAATTTTGTTATAAAATAAACTCTTTTAAAAACAATCTAACACAAATTATGAATGAACATAATTACATAATTAAACAATATAAAAAACCACCTAACCACGAATTGCTAACCTTCAGTAATATACATACACACACACATATATATAGGGGATTGTATATGAAGCAAAGTCCAATGATATACATAGAATTTCTTGGTTAAATGTCATTGCCATTAATCATTACTCTTAGTTTTCTCTATGAGGACAGCAGAAACCTTGAACTCATCATAGACATAGAGGACTCAAAGCCAAATCTCAGCCCTTGATTTTGATACTTTTAGACTCAAGGTCTCTTTAGTTGCAAAGATTATAAGGCCTTCTCTTTTGCCTTTGATTCCTCTGTAGTGGGATAGATCTGTTTACAAAATATCCTCATCAATGTGAAGGTTCTTATAAACTTAATTAAATGCACTTGCGTACGTGTTTAAATTAACCTCATCTATATGCTCCAAATTTCTAACTCCTATAACCTTAATGAGTCACTTAATTTCTTCATGCCTAAACCCTAACATGAGGGTTCTGGCCTTGTAAATTTCCAAGGCTCTCTCCACCATTTTGGCTGATGCACTACATATGTTCTTTGGCTTTCTGGCCCATCCTCTGATTAGGATTTAGTTACATCATTTTTATACTTTGGTGACTCTAACAACTCTGATATGTCTTCCTAATCACTGTGGTTTGTGTGCTCTTCTTCCTCCTCCTTCATGTGCCCAATGAATTGCTCATTTATACCTGTGCGTTAGGACTCACTAGCCTGTGCAGGATGTGTGTGTATGTGAGAGAGAGAGAGAATGAGAGAGACAGTGTGTCTAATCTTGGAACTCTTAAAAAATAAGGATGGCATATTTTATCTTATATTCCCAGCATGTAATACAGTTCTTGGAACACAGTAGGCATGCAATTAATAAACAAACTCTCAAACTAGTGTTTCTGATTTTTTTTTTTTCTGAGACAGAGTCTCCCTCTGTCGCTCAGGCTGGAGTGCAATGGTGCGATCCTGGCTCACTGCAACCTCCACCTCCTGGGTTCAAGCAATTCTCATGCCTCAGCCTCCCAAGTAGCTGGGGCTATAGGCAAATGCCACCACACCCAGCTAATTTTTGTAATTTTAGTAGAGATGGGTTTTCTCCACATTGGCCAGGCTGGTCTCGAACTCCTTACCTCAAGTGATCCACCCGCCTTGGCCTCCCAAAGTGCTGGGCTTATAGGCGTGAGCCACTGCACCCGGCTATGTTCCTGATTTTATCACAATTTTTTTTCTCAGCATAGTTTTAAAACACATTTTAAACAAAACACAACTTAACTTTGAAAAGATTGGTTTTTTCAAAATATCTAAGATCCAAATCATTATAAAAAATAATGAGTTATACTGACAGATATTTTGGTTCCTCATTTGGGTTCTACAGTATACATACACCCTATATACATACATGTATATATTTCACAGATATTTTTGAATGTTGATGACAGTGATTAGGACAATAGTGAAGGCCAAATTTATAGTCCTAACCTAATTGTTCAGTCTTTCTGTTTGTGTCTTAGAGACTAATGGCATACAAACCAGTATGCTCTTCTTTAAATTTCTTGTCTAGTTCAGTGTGGTATCTTGCTTGGGAACTGTTATGTAAGTGCAGAACAGGTTCAGGATATGGCAGATTGTGGTTATTCTTTACAAAACTTAAGGTTATACAATTTTAAACACGGGAGGTTCTTGGACATGTGAGGAATGTTCCTATTTGCTGCAGAGATATTACCCAAGAAAAGAAACCACCTTTAGTCCAAACATTATTTAAATTGCATTTAGAGACACCACAGCCAATTCATCCTATGCAGAAAAACCCCCTAGGAAGAATATTTATGTTGCAGCTTTTATGTTTTTTAGCTTTATGTGGTTAATAAATATATATAAAGAAGCATATTCAAGGGTGGAACATCAATTTATATAGCATGTAACATAAGTTTATATTACTAAGAAAAAGAGTTTTATTTAACTTAACAATGGTGACTTGTGATCATAGTGCAGAACTGATTAGATTGTCTCTTCACAAGGAAATCTGGATCTAGAACCTAGAACCTGGAGTGCTCTTGCCAGGTTCTGTTGACCCAAATGCCTGAGGTTATCACATTAAATGGAATTAGAAAGCTCTGGATCTGCAATTTAAATCTTCAGGATTTGTGTCTTTATTACTAAGTCCATTATTCCAATATACTGGTCAGAAGAGTGAACCAGGAAACAGAGGTAGAAATACTATTTATTGTTTTGGGGCAACAACCACTTAATTACCCAAGAGTAGGCAAAGGAAACTTTGACTTTAGGAATCACCAGAAATTGTATCTGGGTCATTTGTCTTCTCTACAGGGGACGGTCTTTTATGCGGCAGCAGGGAAAGAGCTGGTTGCCTGATGATACTTAACCATTGGGATTGTTGAGAAGCAATTTTTCAGCTTGCAGATCCTAAGGAAGCAGCTCCAACTCAGATCCTTCCTCATCATTGTTTCTCATCAGGACTGGACGATTCTGCCCATGCAGGTTTTTGGCATCTATAGATCAAGTTTTTGGAAGGTGCAGAATTTCTGTAGATTAGAAGTTTTTCTGTTGCTGTCATTGCAGGAGAATGGAAAGAATGCTGGGGAAAAGTAAAAGCAGAGCCTGGTGCCCCATGAATCCCTTCTGAATTCTCTTGAAGGATATAGGCTACTCCTGAGGCTGGATGCCTGATAGCTCCTGGAAGGAGCCTCATCTTATTTCCCAGAGTCATTGGTGAGAAGACTAGACTCTGCTTCCTTCTCTCACGTGTTTAGAGATCAGTCTTTAAAATAGCTTGGTCAGATGAAAGATTGTTCTTTGGAGGACTCACAGATAAGTGCTTAATAACATGCCCCTACAAAATGTAGAAATCAATAGTGATTTCTATTTAAATAAAGATATCTCCTGTACTCTACAATAAATTGTATTTAGGTCATTCAATTTAATTAAAATTCAAGATATTCAAAGGCCAATTCTTTTTCTCAAAAGCCTTTAGAGGCCTTCTTTAAAGATGTCCATAAAGTTGAGCTCACAGACCCATACAACCTTTTGTTTAAACATAGTCTCAGAGTTGCTCTTAGTCACCGCCTTGAACTTTTATCTTAGTGTATTGTGAATGAGCAGTGTCAGGGATTCTGGCCTTCAGTGAGACCGCTATGGCCTTGGTCATCACCATGATTGATTCTGCAGTGAGTCAGTTTCCATTATGATTCAGGATTGAACCATTTCTTTTGAGGAGGTAAATGAACTCTTCCTGCATCCCCCTGGATACTAATTATCTGGCAGGAGTTAGCCACAGAAATTAAAATCAAATTCTTAGAAAAAAAGACATCTAAAAGGAGGAAGATTCTGCTCAAATTCATTGGAATAAAGAGAATGTATAAGCAAAAGTCTCCTTGATTTAAAGGAAACCAAAGGGTGCTCTCTCTCTAAGCTATTACTCTTGTCGTCTCCATCCACCTCACAGATTCCTTTCCTCCTCCCCTCCTTTCCTGGGTCCTCCCTGCCTGTACTCCATCTCCCTGAATTTGCTCTGTTTATTTCACACTCAGTCTTTGTTATTCACCTAAAAAATTAGTAAGGAACTCATGTTTTTTCTCTCATCTGGAAATCTTCTCTCTTTGATTAAAGGCAATGATTTTGAAATCAGATAGAACTGATTCTATCAGTTCGAATCCTAATGTTTCCTCTTACTAATCTTGGCACATTCTATAAGTTTTTGTTTTAACCACTCCAAGTTTCATTTCTCTCAACAGTAAAATGGGGCTAATTATGTCTCAAAGGATTGTTGTAGAGATTCAGTGAGATAGTGTATGGAAAAGAAGTCTCCAATAACATTGTTTTGAATAATATCCTACCTTTTTTTTTCTGTTTTACTTCATTCATGAGGTTTTTTTTTTTTTTAACCACTTTATTGACATTGTTTTAACCATCTTCTCAATTGCCATAGGAATTTCTCTCAGTGCTCACTTAACATTAACAGCACAGAGGTGGTTTTGGTACCGTGGAGAGGGCACTGGGTCGGGAGTCCTATCATCTGGATTGGATTCCTGACTCTGCCATGTACTAGCTAGACACTGGGTGAGTCCCTTAATCTTTTGAGGCCTGATTTTCTTGCATAAGAATAAGCAGTGCTTACCATATTAGATTTTTTATTAAATAAGGTAATTTCTACTGATGGCTTAATCTGTGCTAAGTCCTAAATTCATTGCACGCATCAATCTCATTTAAAGTTTGAAACAACCCTCTGAGTTAGTTACCCATATTATCACTGTTGTGTTGATGAGGAAGCTGAGGCTTAGAGAGATTAGGTTACTTGCAGGGGTAGAGGTGGGATCTGAGGCCAAGACTGGCTGACACCAGACACGTGCCTGTTGAATACCTAAATACCACAGCATGTTATTCCTGGAAGGGCTTTCTCTTCTCCCAAGAGTGGCACCAGTGAAGGACCTTGAATGTTGTTATGCACTCGACACTGTTGAAATGTGTCATGTATCTACTTTATCTCCTCAGTGAGGTTGTAAACTTCTTTAGGGCCTATGGTGTGTTTTTGTCTTTCGTTCATTTTCTTTTTCCCAGTACCTAGCAGAAGATTGAATTATAATATGCATTTAATAAATTTCCTATTGATTTAACTGTGTGCTCTTACCTTTCTCTCCTCCTAAGAACTGTGTTGAAGGCTTTTGTGTTCAGACAATTCAGTAATGTCTGAATTTAGTTGTCAACAATAACAACACAATAATGATAACAACATTATAGTTAAGAATTCCCAAACACTTACAGCACAGGCAGTTTATGTGGATAATGTCATTTACCCCCTCAGCAATCCTAAACATGACATGTTATATAATTGACCCATTTTATAGATGAGAAAACTGAGTCTTAGAACAATGACATAATGTGCCTAATGTCACAGAACTAGTGAAAGGTGAAGCTCAGATGCTCTGATATGAAACCAGTACCTAGTTCTAGAGCCAAGACTCTTCACTTTTTAAAAACAGGCATTAAATGGGCATAACATTGCCTGACCACTTTCTAAATTTTTGCTTTACAAAACTAGTTACTGTTTGCTACTGAAATGCTTTTTGTAAATATGGTTTTTTATTGTGGTAAAATATACAATACATAAAATTTACCATTTTAATAATTTTTAAGTGTACCATTTCAGTGGCCTTAAATACATTCACATTTTTATGTAGCTGTCACCACCATTTATCTCCAGAACTTTTTCATCGTCTCAAACTATACGGACCCTACCCACTCAATAACAACTTCCCATTCACCCAAGTCTGTATAAGTATTTTCTTCCAAGGTATACACTTGACCATTTCGACTCTTGAGGAGAGGTCTGAAAACTTTGATAATACAGGCCTTTGCAAAATCTGCACCTCTCTATCTTATTCAGCATAGTCCTAGGCCTTGTGACTTTCTCAGTCCTTTATTTCTTATATGATATCAGCAGACCTTGGGTCAGAAAGGTCTTTGGTGATAGATAGCCTGTCCTCTCTGAATCAGCTCTTTTGCAGATTTTTCCTATCTTCAGGACTTGTTCATTTTTCTTCTGTTGCAGCCATATCCCCACGACGTGGGCCCACAATTCTGAGTCACCAGCTTTACTTGTGTCAAAGAAAGTATGATGACAAAGGGAAACTGCTGTATTTATTATTTGCCATAAACTGTGTGCTGACTTGCTCAGAGAGGGAGAATCCCTATATTTTGGGCAGAAAATTCCAGTGTCATCCAAAGCTCAATAATGGGTAGAGTTGAAATGAAACAATCTGGCTAGATGTACTAGAAATAATCCATGTGTATACACAATGAGTTTGTAGAGGGTAATTGACAGACTTTAAGGGCCCTGGTTCTGTTGCCCTTTCACAGATATTCTTCTGGTTGTGGATAGTAGGACATTATTCATCCTGACCAACCCAGTTTATGAAACAACATGGATACAGAGCCAGAGACCACCCTTGTTTCAGGCTTCATGCTATTCAATGTCCTTGTGATAGTCATTGTCACCATATCTCTAAAACAGAGATGATGTCCACAGCAAGGTCATTGGTGGTGGCCATGTAAAGTAGGCCTTATTAACACAATGCCTATATGGATGCAGATACAATTATAGATTATTTTTTTTTCTTTCAGTTTCTAAGCTGATAGAGACCATATTTTTATTTTTCTTAATGGATATAATCTCTCAAAAATTAACTTTTCTTCATTTTTCCACAACCTTCTGGCATCTATATCTGCTTTCACATATGCTATAAATCCCAGGCCTTTTGAACAGGTATATCTTTTTTTGTGTGTGCTTTGCTGAAATCACATTTTTAAGAAATTGAAGGTTTGTAGTAACCCTTTATCCAACGAGTCTACTGGGGCCATTTCCCCAACATCCTGTGCTCACTTCTTGTCTCTGTGTCACGGTTTGGAAATTCTTGCAATATTTTAAATTTTAAATTATTATTATATCTGTTATGGTGATCTATGATCAAGGATCTTTGATATTACTGTTATAATTATCTTGGGGGGCCACGAATCATGCCCACATAAGACAGTTAACTTCATCGATAAATGTTTGTGTTCTGACTGCTCCACAGAACAGCTTTTTCCCCATCTCTTTCCATCTATGCCCCTTTCCTCAGGCCTCCCTATTTCCTGAGACACAGAAATACTGAAATTAGACCAATTAATAATCCTACATTGGCCTCTAAGTGTTCAAGGGGAAGGAAGAGTTGCACGTTGCTCACTTTAAATCAAAAGCTAGAAATGATTAAGCTTAGTGAGAACGGCAGGTTGAAAGCTGAGACAGGCCAAAAGCTAGGCCTGTTTCACCCAACAGCCAAGTTGTGACAACAAAGAAAAAGTTACTGAAGAGAATTAAAATTGCTACTTCCATAAACACACGAGTAATAAGAGTGTGAAACAGTCTTATTGCTGATATGGAGAAAGTTTTGGTGGTCTGGATAGAAGATCAAATCAGCCACAAATATTTCTGTGTCTCAGGAAGTAGGGAGGCCTGAGGAAAGGGGCATAGATGGAAAGAGATGGGGAAAAAGCTGTTCTGTGGAGCAGTCAGTCTGGGCCTTCCAAAACCCAATTTGGAGTAAGGCCCAGACTCTCTTGAATTCTATGAAGGCTGAGAGAGGTAAGGAAGCTGAAGAAGAAAAGTTTGAAGCTAACAGAGCTTGGTTCATGAGGTTTAAGGAAAGAAGCCATCTCTGTAACTTAAAAGTGCAAGGTGAAGCAGCAAGTGCTGATGTAGAAGCTGCAGCAAGTTATCCAGAAGATCTAGCTAAGATCACTGATGAAGGTAGCTACTAAACAACAGATTTGCAATGTAGACAAAACAGCCTTCTATTGGAAGGTGATGCCATCTAGGACTTCCACAGCTAGAGAGGAGAAGTCAATGCCTGGCCTCATAGCTGCAAAAGACATGCTGCTTTTCTTGTTAGAGGCTAATGCAGCTGGTGACTTAGTTGAAGCCAATGCTCATTTAGTATTCTGAAAATCCTAGGGCCCTTAAAAATTGTTATGCTCTATCAATAAAACAACAAAGTCCAGATGACAGCACATCTGTTTAAAGCATGGCTTACTAAATATTTTAATGCCTCCATTGAGACCTACTACTCAGGAAAAAAGATGCCTTTCAAAGTATTACTGCTCATTGAGTAATATTTTAGTAATCCAGGAGTTCTGATGAACATGTACAAGAAGATTAATGGTGTTTTTACACCTGCTAACCAAGCATCCATTTTGCTTGAATCAAGGAGTCATTTTGACTTTCAAGTCTTATTATTTAAGCAATATATTTCATGAGGCTAGAGCTGCCTTAGATAGCAATTCATCTCATGGATCTGGGCAAAGTAGACTGAAAATCTTCTGGAAAGGATTCATCATTCTAGATGACATTAAGGACATTCATGGTTTATGGAAGAAGGTCAAAAATGCACATTAACAGGAGTTAGGCAGAAGTTGACTCCAATCCTCATGGATGAGTTTGAGGGCTTCAAGATTTCAGTGGAGGAAGTAACAGCAAAAGTGGTGCGAATAGCAAGAAAGCTAGAAGTAGAAGTGGAGCCTGAAGATGTGACTGAATTGCTGCAATCTCATGATACAACTTCAATGAATGAAGAGTTGCTTCTTATGGATGTACAAAGAACGTGGCTTCTTTCTTTCTTCTTTTTTTTTTTTTTTTGAGAAGGAGTTTCACTCTTGTTGCCCAGGCTGGAGTGCAGTGGTGTGATCTTGGCTCACTGCATCCTCCGTTCCTATGAAGATACTGTAAAAGTTGTTGAAAGGACAACAAAGCATTTATTTTTTATTTATTTTATTTTTCTTTTTATAGATTTAGGGGGTATAAGTGCAATTTTGTTACATGGTGCATTATGTAGTGGTAAAGTCTGGGCTTTTAGTATAATCATCACCTAAATAGGTATACCTTGTACCCCGTAGGTAATTTTTCATCCCTCACCCGCCACTGAATTTCCCACCTTTTAGAGTTTCCAGTGTCTATTATTCTACTCTGTATGTTAGGTGTACACATTATTTAGCCCCCACTTATAAAGGAAAACATGTGGTGTTTGACTTTCTGTTTCTGAGTTATTTTACGTAAGATAATGGCCTCTAGTTCCACCCATGTTGCCACAAAAGTCATGATTTTTTTTTTTATGGCTAAGTAGTAGTCCATGATTTATCACATTTTTTTAATGCAATCATCCAGTGATGGACTTTTAGGTTGATTCCATGACTTTACTGTTGTGAATAGTGCTGTGATAAACATATGAATGCAGGTAGAATTTTATATAATTATTTATTTTCCCTTTGGGTAGATACCCAGTAGTGGGATTGCTGGATAAAATGGCAGTTCTATTTTCAGTTCTTTGAGAAATTAATAAAACACCAAAATCAGGAGAAAGCAAAATGTGGTGAATGTAATTAAGGAAGATTTTATGGGAACAGAATTTGTTTTGACTCTAAAAAAAGGTAGATAGATAAGGGAATAAAGAATGGGCATTTATTTACATGCTATATTTTCTCTAAGGAGACACCACCATTCTATAAGCAGCAATATTTTGAGCCTTGGCAGGCGAGAATGATAAAAATGAAGACCCCAAGATACAGAAAGTTGTGTTAAGTCACTGAAGTGGTGACCGAATGACCTGAGCGTCTTCCAGACACATGTATTGCCAGATTTTGTCTTTCTGTGAATGTACATTTCATTGCTCTTCTTGAGGAGACAAATATCCATAACTGAGTATAGTAACTATTCATATAGGAAGCAACTAAAAGAAGTACTTTAAGATGTCTTTGCTGTTTAACTTTCTGGTTTCTAGAGCTATGTCTCCGCCTGATGGGAGGTAATGGAATTACGGTAAATTTACAAGGGCAACTTGAATAGAATCATGCTTATTACATCAGCTAGAAAATCACCCAGCTAATTATAGGAAACAGAGAAAAAAATCCCCAAAACAATGATGACCATAAAATATGTAGTTTGCTGAAGTTACATTTTCTTATTGCAGTGAATTACTTAAGATGTATTTCTTCCCTATAGAGAGCTATACTGTTTTAATGCATGTACTATTGGGAACATTGAAAAGCATCAGTGCTATTTCATTTAAGGGGTGTTGTTGTTGCACTTCTCAAAAAGTATTTCTTTATTTGCTGATGTGTATTTAATAAAAGGATAAACTTCATCTGGAATGTTATTGACATCAATTTGAGGGGAGGGGGTTGTTGTGGGAGGAATATATTAGAGAGAAATTTCAAAATTTTTCATGGATACAGACAGTTCCCATACATGATTCATGTAACAAAAATATAACAGTATTTATTACACTTCAATTTTTACTGGACTTAGTATATATCAGTCTTTGCAGTTTTTGTGACTCGTTTTCTTCTAATCCCTGATAAAAGCATGGATTAACATATTATCAGCCTCTTGGTTTAGAAGTAGAGATGAGGATTTCTGTGTTTCAGAATCACCCATGGCCTCTTTTGGTATAAAAGCTAGAGTTGAAAATAGCATGCAATATTTAAAAAAAATCACATTAGTTATTTAAGATCACATAATAAACAAATTTAGATATGTTTTAGAACTCTTTATCCTTTGTCTGGGAAAGAGAGTACTAAGAATTAAGCCACAGTAGGTTTAAAAAATTACTTGATTTATTGGATAGTTATGAGAAAGAAACTAACAATTGGCAAATATCCTGAGCGCTAAATTTGGCTAGGTGCTTTAGATAGATAACATGCTTTTGAAAAAGCGGTGTTATTTCCCCAATTCACAGAGGGGGAAATAGGTATTTAAGCAACTTGCCTAGGATCACATTGCTATTAAGATGTGAACCTGATAGAACTGGCCCCACATCCTCATCCTTCTCACTGCTTCATTTATATCCCCATTGTAGAAATTAGAGGAGCTTTATTGTAGAAATGGACTCATACAATTATGGAAGCTGAGAAGTCCCACGATCTGCTGTCTGCAAGCTGGACCACCATGAAAGCTGGTGATGTAATTCAGGTGGAGTTCAAATGCCTGGGAACCAGGCCAGGCTGCTGGTGTAAGTCTCAGGTTCACAGGCCTGGGAACCAGGAGCTTTCATGTTTCAGATAAAATAAATTCATCCTTTATTCACCTTTTGGTTCTATTCAGGACTTCAGTGGATTGGATGATGCCCATTAACATTGGTGAGAGTGATCTTTACTCAGTCTGCCTATTCAAATGCTCATCTCTTCCAGAAATATCTTCAAAGACACACCCATAAATATTGTTTAGCCAACACTCCCTTAGCCCAGTTGAGTTGATTCATAAAATTAATCATCACACACACTCCTCATTTCAGCAAAAAAAGCTGAGTGGGACCAGCACCCAAAAGTAATAGGCCAGTTAAGGAAATGATTTAAAGCCAAGTCAGTGAAAATACTTAACAAAAATGCAAATGTCAATACCTTATATTAGTATGTAATGTCTTCTATTTGTAATACCTATCAGTTTAGAAATGCTTTTATAGACATTATTTTATTTACTCCTCACTGCAATCCCAAGAGAAAGAAACAGCTGAGAGTGATTTTCTTTTTTTTTTTTTTTTAAACAGGTCAGGGGATTGAGGCTTGGATAAGTTGTCTCTTGCCCAAGACCACTGAGCTCCTTTTGGTGTGTGATTTCTGCAGACCTAAATGAAAAATGTATTTGTCTCACCACTTTCTTTTCTATTCCCATCCTTCATACCTCATTGTGGGCTTTCCGTGCTAGGCATAAGGTATGGAGAAAATGCAAATTTAAACCCAGTGGGTTTTACTCCCTGGCACCCTTCTCATCTTTGAGTTCAGAATCTCAAAGGCTTTCTTTCCACAGAAAAGCATATGTTAACTCATCACTTACTGTACCTCAAGTAGATACTTTTAACAACAACAACAAAATTGGTGATGTCCAGCAAGATACAAATTTCAAGCTGAATGTGAAAATGATTTTAAGATGTCAAAAGTTAATTAATTCAAAATTATCATCAACTACATTTTGAGCTCCGATTCTACTCTGAGATACATGTATTCAACAAATATTGTTCAATAAATTAGTCAATGATTCCATAGTACTGAAAGGCGGGGCATGGTGTGACGGAGGAACCACGTTTGCCATTTGCCAGCTGTGAGAGCAATGGCAGGTTAATCTTTCCTAATTATTTTTTCATTTAAAAAAACGAAGCTGTTTATGCCTATTTCATGGGGCTTTAGTGAGGAATAAATAATAGTGCATGTAAGGGACTTTGTAAAGTGCATTATACACAGTAGAAACTGAGTAAACATACATATTTATAAAGAATATTTTCTGAGAGAATTATGTTTTACAGGGGGAAACAAAAAACTCCATTAAAAACATTAATAGTAGAACTATTTAAACATATCTCTACTGTAGCAATATACAGGTATAATCTAATGGCATATTTTAGTTCTCACAGAAAATATGACATTTAATTGTTTTTTTCCAAAATGAAAAGAAAATTATGAGTTAAAAGGAGTCCTAGCTCTATGATTTAGCATCTTTGTAACATTGAGGAAGCCACTTAGATTCTTTGAAATTCAGTGTCTTCATCAATTAAATGGGATTATCTACTTTAGATACCCTTCTATGTGGTTATAAAGGCAAATCAGTTTCTGAATGTGAAAGAAGTTTGTTTTTTCTCTACTGTATTATCATATAAATCCATCCACATACAGCATTGTTTTCTGGTGAGGCAATGGGGTCTCCTTTGCCATTTTTTGAATCCAAAATCCAGAAGAACAGTGTCTAGTTGACACTTCATGTCAGGATAAAGTGGCAGGTTATTGTAAATAAGCTCTTTCCATCGTTTATTTTTTTCTTTTGAAATCTCCTGGGTGTGACAATTCTTCCCATGAAATGTGCTGTATTTAAAACTGCTTTTGGGGGATAACTGGAAGAGCTTTAATGGTTTGACATCTCAGTGCCCTTCTTGGGCTGGTATTCGTGCTGTAATCCTCTGGGAGGGCTTGTACTCCCAAGCTGTCCAGGGCAATCTGTCAGTCCCAGGAGCGACAGTCTAGATTGAATTAGCTTTGGTTCTTCCATCACTAATTAGATGGCACAGCAGGCCTGCCTCGGGGCACCAAGGCATCGATTCAGTTCCTGTAATAAGCCTAATGAAGTGCCTTCACCATGTTTCAGGATGCCAATTCTCTAAAAATTGCCCTGAAATGTAAAGCTTAGGAAATGTTGAAGCTACGCAATCAATTTACAGACACAACAGAATACAAGAAAAAGTTACATTGATATTTTAAAGGATGTGCTTACATTTTTTTCAACCCTTGGTTTGAAAATGACCTTGAGATATCCATTAATTTATCTCTCAAATTTCACAGTGGATTATAACAAAAGAGTCCTAGAAGTTAGAATTTATTTTAAATTTTGAAATGTTGGAAATGCCACAATTGTTTTGTAACATATCCAAGTATCTAACTATTTCCTCTATGCTCATTAGTATGAAATATGCCTTTTATTCATAATTGAATATCACTTGTTTGCTGAATATTGCCTTGATCCAAGCAAGTTCCATGTTAAATTGACAACCAGATATGTAGAAATGAAAGAAAATTAATGGAGTACTATAAAATTCTCAATATAAGCTTGTATTTTATATGGTGCTATATATTTTGCAGAACATTTTCACATCCAATTTCTCAGAAGAGGGAATCTGCAGTGAAGTTCATGGGCCTGGAACAATAGGCTGAGGGAAAACCATTAAGGAGACATCAAAGAGATAATAAATAAGATGCAGATTCACAGCATCTTAGAGTTGAAAGGAATCTTAAATTGTATCAAGTCTTTTCTCTTGCCCACATAGGAATCATCTTTGCATGCCTAACTGGCAATTGACCAGTTCCTCCTCAGCCTTGTCAATTGCAGAGGCATGTCCAAGGTTATGAGGCAGCACTTTCTATCACCGAGTGGCTCCATCTGCTAGAACGTGCTTTGTTATATTTAGCCAAAATCTACATCTTGCAATTTCTTCCACTTCTGTGTTTGCTTTTGGTGACCAGAATGCACAAGTCTGTTCTTTATTATGACAGTTATTCAAAATTTAAGGACTGAAAGTATGTCCCCACCATGCAAAACCTTCTTCGTGTTCAATAGTCCAGTTCTTTCCATCATTATCATGGCTTGTGATTTTCAGATTCCTAAGTCTTCCAGCTGTGGGCCTGTCTCAAAATAGACACTAGTGCCTTGCTATTTAAAAAAAGTGCTCCGTGCCCCAGAAACATCAATATCACCTGAGAGCTTGTTAGAAATGCAGATTTCCAGGCCCCAAACCAGACGTACTAACAAAATGGTTTGTATGCGTGATAAAGCTGGAGAAGTACTGTTTTCATTTGTTGGACTATCTCTTAAAATATAGCAACTGGCCTTGCACTTTGGGAGGCCAAGGTGGGTGGATCACCTGAGGTCAGGAGTTCAAGACCAGCCTGGCCAACATGATGAAACCCCGTCTCTACTAAAAATACAAAAAACTAGCTGGGTGTAGTGGTGGGTGCCTTTAATCCCAGCTACTCAGGAGGCTGAGGCAGGAGAATCACTTGAACTCGGGAGGTGGAGGTTGCAGTGAGCCGAGATCGCACCACTGCACTCCAGCCTGGGTGACAAGAGCAAAACTCTGTAACTGGAACTACATAAATCCTTCGAGTGTAGTCCCAGGACCACAAAATGTAGTGAGATTATTTACCTTGCTTTGTACATTCTATACATTATATTTGTATTAAAATCTCCTATCGTTGCTTTATTTTTTTATTTCTCGGCTGAAGTTTTACACAGTTAACGCTGACTAAATTTACGAAGAAGGGTGAGATCCAGATTTTTTTTACATCAACTACTGCTAATCAGGTTTTCTTCTTCTGACAACTGTGCAATTGATAGTTTGCACCTATGTAAGAGAATATACACATGTCATTATTAAACTTTATCCTGACAGTTGGAGCTAATCTTTCTACTCTGTGGGGATAATTTTGAAGCTTGATTTCATCAGCCATCCCATTAGTTATCTCTCTCACAGCTTGTGTCCTTTTAAAAATGGATGTGCATGTCTCTCTTTATTTAAGATACTGGTAAAAATAGCAAATAAAACAGGGTTAAAGGCAGAGTGTATTATAGTAATACTTCTAGAAACACCCTTCATAGAAATGCATTAGGTTCTACAAGTATTTGCTGGGCACCTGTCATGTGATGGACATTACCCTGACTTAGACCCTTGGAATAGGAAGAGGATGAAGCAACCTTCCTGTCCTTGAGAAGCCCACAGTCCTGTGAGAATTCTGGATCTCAAGATCATGCAAGGACATCTCTTGCCAGGGCTGCAATCCTTTATTAGGCTAATTATGGAAAGAGAGTCCATGTCTGTGTGCCTTGCAGCAGGCCTGCTTTGCCACCTAATTAGTGATGAAAGAACCAAAGCTAATTCAATCTAGTCTGTCACTCTCTAGACTGAAGAATTATCCCAGACATCGTGAGAACACAAGCTTTGTCTTGAGGTTATCAGAAAGGACAGCTAATAGAACAAAATTTTTATTTCTCCAGAGGAGTTCATTGAATCAAAGAGCAAATGTGACTTTTAAAATGTGTACACTGGAGGGAGGTACACAAAGTCATCAGATACATTGCATATGGCTGTATCTCAGACCAATGGCATAGGACAGTACTAAGAAACACGCTGATTTCTGACCAATTTTATTTTAGTGGGCTGATATCTTAGGACAGATCCATCATTGATTAAATAAGCCACCTCAAGATCTAAAGTAAATTTACACAAACATTTAAAAGAATTCAGCTTCACATAAGGAAGATCTGAATACAAATGTTTAAAAATGACCATTGCTTTGACTATTTGAACCCGCTATTCAATTTTCAGTGACCTTAAAGTCTGCTTTATCCCGCAGTCCTCTACCAACCTGCTGTGTTTCCAGTTCACCGGCACCTTCCTGCCTTGTCCCTGGGCCTTAGAACTCTATCCAACAACCATTCAATGCATGTTTATCAGGTGCCTTTTATGAAACAGACCTTCACAAAACTACATTCTAGTGGGGAGAAACAGAAAATAAAGGAGCACATCAATAAAAAATGAGATAATCTCTTATTGATAAATGCTGCAAAGGAAATAAAACATGACAAGTTATAAGTGACATGGGGTCATGCTACTTCATGTTTGACCAGTGAGAAGAAGGCAGCGTTGTCCAGTTTTGAGGGAGGAATGCTCTTGGCAAAGGGAATGAGAAGCTTCATCTTCCCATATCTAAATTTCCCTGAGACTGAGTCTGGGACCCCTATTGCTGAATCCCCCTAAGTTCTCCTAATCCACTTGGACCTCAGCCAGGTGTCTGCCCTACCTCATTTTCAGTGGACACCTTAGACCTTGTACTTGGTTTGGATATTTTGTTAATGGTATTTGCAAATCTCTCTTGCTCAGGCCTAAGCTCTCCTATCTTTATGTCCTCCTTTTAAAAGCAATCTACCCCCAGTCCTGCTTCTCTGATCAGAACCCGGGAGTTTTACTTTGTGTTCTCATCATACCCTGTGCTTTCCTTTCTCTGAGAATTTACCATGCGTCTTATCGTAATTCACATGGCCTCAATCATCTCCAGACAGTGAGATTTTTGGAGGCAGGGACTCAATGTCCATTTGACGATTCCATTATCTAGAGAAATATCTAACACATACTAGGCCCCTAGACACTTGAGATGAGTAATTCTACTGTACTTAAACTGCTTTGGGCAACCAGTCTTAATAGACGATATAAAATTCAGTGGGACTTTGTGGCACAATATCTATGTATTTTCAATTCACTTCTGGTGATATTTTGCTCTATTTTAAACAGCTGACAATAAAGCTTTGATATTCACCTTAGAAAACCAAGTTGTTTATTGAGTATTTACTTGTTTATTTAATAGTTGTCTATTTAATGTTTATTTATTTAATGTAAATAATGTTTTTTTCCTGTAATTTGTGTGCATCTGTTTTTTAAAAAGCCTCATGAGACTTTTTTTTCTTCTTTTTTTGAGACTTTTTCAATCATTAGCCTTTGATACAAGAAGAAATCATTATTTTACAGGAAAACTACCCTGTGAAAACAGGCAATTTTAAGCTTGACTTAAAACTCAGAAACAGTGACACTCTTGCAAGTGTAAATTATGGAATAAGTAATGTGATCTGGGGAAAGGAAAAAGAGTCCCCATGTCTCTCCCCAGATGATCTTCTGGCCAACAAGTTCTTTTCTGAAATTTCCCATTTAAAAAATTTCTTGTTAAAATGCAAATTCCCTTAGGAGAGATTAGACATTAAGCCTTGTTCACACTAAAATTTAAGTGGCTAGTATCATATTTTTTCCCTGAGAAAAAGTTAATAGCTTATAAGCCCCTGAGCTCAGGAGAGTGAAGGAAGGGATGAGAAATAACTACAGAGAGGAGGAAACTGTATCAAAAAAGGGGCTGGTAGCCCCTAAATTATACTTTGTCAGCTTCACAGTTCTGCAGGGTTTGATGTCCCCAGCTGGGCAGGGGCCCAAGGCTAAGCGTGCTGGAATGTGCTGCTCTCTTCCTAGCCTTGATAGTTTTCAGATTTGGTATTACTAAATCCTTTAATGATTTCCTGATGGCATACCATAACAAGTAAGGAAAAAAACTCTTGTCTATTTCAGAATTTCTAGTGGGATATTCTTAGTTTATTGATTTTTAGGATGTAATTGATTCTGGCCAGTCATTCATTAGTAATGGGCAAATTGATTTAAATATTCAATAACTGTGCTATGCCCAACCATGTATTTACATATGTCTTTATAAGAACTGCCAAGGGTAATTTTACATTTATCTATTCAAGTGCGGGCTAGTGTTGAGTTCAGCACTAAATTACTCATGGCAATTTTTTATTTTAAAGCCAGATTAGGATTCCAAATTGTATGTGTTTGCCAAATACCGAATAATTCAGGTGGTTTTAACCAATTCTCACTGCAAATGCAGAGAGTGAGAAAATAAGTGATTGGGAGTAATTAACACGAAAGTAAATGATGACTTAGAAAGATAGAAGGTCATTCTAATGGCAATGATAAAGTCGATCTGGGCTGATGATTGGCAGAAAGCAAGAAGTGAATAAAAGCAGTTAATGTTATCAAGTTAATGCCATGTTCTGAATACTGTGCTAACTCCTTTACATGCATTCTCTCATTGAATCATTATATAAGACATAGGAAATAGGTGCCACTATCATACTGAGTTCATAATTAGGAAATTTATTGTTGAGAGATGTTGGTCCCATGCCTATTCACAGAGCTAGAAAGTGAAAGGTCATCTAACTTGTCAGATGCTGGTTATCTAACTGCAGAGTCGCCATATAATTTTAGTGCCCAAATGTGAAACCACTTGTTCTACTGAAAGGGATTAAGATAAAAGCAAGAGGAAAGAAAATGCAAAAGATATTCGGCTCTTGGGATATAGATTGCTGGGATTAGAGGTACACACACTGCAGCTTCATCTTCTCTGTGAGACGTTCTTGATATCCAGTCAGAATCAATCTTGTCTCCTCTGGGTTCCCATAGCGCTGTACATGTAAGCTTGTTACCTCATTTTCAGAGGTTGATTTGTTCTTCACCATGAATTTTATATATATATATAAAATATATAAAATAATATATATATAAAATTCACAACTTGATTGAGGTATCATGAAGTATAATTGACCTACAATAAACTTCACATATTAAAATGTACAATTTGATGTTTGACATACATGAATGCCCTGAGACCATCACTACAATCAAGAAAGTAAACACACTCTTGACTTCCAAAAGTTTGTTTGTACTCCTTTATAATTCCTTCCTTTATCCTTGCAGTAGGGTTCTCCAGAGAAGGAGAACTATTAGGATACACACACACACACACACACACACACACACAATTAGCTCACAAGATTATATGATTATGGAGGCTGGGAAGTCCCCAAATCTCCATCTTTCCAGCTGGAGACCCAGGAGATTCAATGGTGTAGTTACAGTCCACATCCAAAGGCGTGAGGACTAGGAAAGCCAATGTTGTAACTTCTGATTTGAAGGCTGGCCGGCTAGGGACCTAAGAAAAGCCAATTTTTCAGCTCAAGTCCAAAGGCAAGAAAAGACAGATTTCTCACTTCAGGTAGTCAGGCAGAAGTACCCTCTTACTCAGCCTTTTGCTCTATTCAAGTCTTCAATTGACTGGATGAGACCCACCCACATTAGGGCAATCCACTTTACTCAGCCTACTGATCAAATGTTCACCTCATCCAGAAACACCCTCACAGACACACCCAGAATAATGTTTGGCTAAATGTCTGGCATCCTGTTGTCCAGTGAAGTTGACACAAAAAATTAACCACCATACCCCTCCTCTCTTCCCCAGTTCCCAGGCAACTACTGATCTGCTTTCTGTCACCATACATTAGTTTGCATTTTGGGAATTGTATATAAATGAAATCATACAGTATGTACTCTTTTTCCTCTAACTTCTTTCATTCAGCATAATTATTTTGAGTTTCACCCATGCTGTTGAACATATCAAGAGTGCATTCCTTTTTATTGCTAGGTAATTTTCCATTGTATGAATGTAGCAGTTTCTTCATTAGTCTCTTAATGGACATTTGGGTTGTTTCCAGTTTTTAATTATTACAAATAAAGCTGCTATGAATATTCATGTATAAGTCATTGTGTGGGAATATGCTTTTATTTCTAGGAGTGGAATAGGTGAATCCTATGGTAGGTGCTATGGTCTGAATGTACATGTCCCTCCCTTTCCTGCAATTCGTATGTTGAAATCCTCAAGCCCAAGGTGATTGTATTAGGAGACAGGGCCCTTGGGAAGTGGGATTAAGACATTGGGGCAGAGCCCTCGTGAAAGGGGGGCCTTATAAAAGAGGCCCCAGACCTCTCTACCCTTTCCACTGGGTGAAGACATGGCAAGAAGTCATAGTCTATGAGCCAGAAACCAAACCCTCACCAGACACCGAGTCTTCCTTGATCTTTGACTTAACCTTCAGAATTGGGAGAAACAAATTTTTATTGTTTATAAGCTACCTAGATTGTGGTACGTTTGTTATAGCTGTAGGTTTAACTTTGTAAAAAATGGCCAAACTCTTTTCTGAAGTGGATATTCAATTTTACATTCCTACTAGCAGCATATGAGAGTTCCATTTTCTCTGGAACCTTGCCAACACTTGGTATGGCCAGTCTCTAAGTTTATTCATTCTAATATGTGTGTGGTGATAGCTCATGTTAGGTTTAATTTGCATTTTTGTAATGACTAATGATAGCATATTTTCATGTGCTTTTTGTCATTTATATATCTTCTTTGGTGAAAATATCTATTCAAATATTTTGGCCATTTTTATTGGCTGGTTTATTTTACTATTATTGATTTTTGACAGTACACATTCTGGTACAATTATCTTATTAGACATATGATTTTCAAATACTTTCTCACAGCCTATGGCTTCTCTACACATTAACTTAGCAGTTTCTCTTCAAGAGCAGAAGTTTTTGATTTGATGATGTCTCTTATCTAAGGATTGTTTTTTTAAATTGATTATAATTTTGTTGGTGTTTCAAATAAATATTTGCTTAACCCAAGATCACGAAATTTTTCTGTTTTCTTCCAGAAGATTTATATTTTTTAGGTTCTGTGATCCATTATGAGTTAATATTTATGCCTGGTACATGTTATGGATCAAAGCTTTTTATTTTGCATGCTAGTATCTTTGTTCCAGTACCAAGGAAAGACTATCGTTTCTCCATTGAATTACCTTTCCACGTGTGTTGAAAATCAGTTGTCCATGTCTGTTTGTGTCTATTTCTGGGTTCCCCATGGTGTTACATTGGCCTATACACCAATGCCACACTGTTTGGGTTACTGTGGCTTTATTGTAAGCAGCTGTGTAGCAAGCAGTGTTAGCTGTAGTTCTGAAAATCTTTTTCCAAACTTTTTGACTAATTTAGGTCCTTTACTTTTCCAATATGAGTTTTTGAACAAGTTTTTAAGTTCTATCAAAAAGTCTACCAGAATTTTAATTAGGATTACACTGGATTATAGATCAACTTGGGGAGAATTGGCATTTGACAATTGTGTCTTCTGATCCATGAACTCAGTATAACATATGTCTTTATTTAGGATTTATTTAATTTTTCTCAGTCATGTCTTACATTTTTCAGTTTATGTCATATCATTTTTTAGATTATCCCCAAGAATTTCATATGTTTTATGCTATTATAAATGGTACCTTTAACAAATGTCAATTTCTGATTATTTGTCATTACTTCTAGGGGTTTATTTATAGATTGTATTGTATTTTCTACATAGGTTATCAGGTTGTCTGTGAATAAAGACAGGGTTACTTTTTCCTTCCCAATTTGGATGCCTTTTCCTCCCTTCCTTCTCTCCTTCCCTCTCTCGTTCTCTCTCTCTTTCCTTCATTCCTTCCCTCCTTGCTTCTTCTCTTGTTCTCTCTTGGTTTCTCTCTTTCCTTCCTTCCCTCCCTTCCTTTCTTCCTTCCTTCCTTCCTTCTCTTGTTCTCTTTCTCTCTCTGTCTTTCCTTCATTCCTTCCCTCATTCCTTTTTTCCCTCCTTCCTTCTTCTCTTGTTCTCTCTCTCCTTCCCTGCCTCCCTCCCTATTTCCTTCCTTCCTTCCCTCCTTCCTTCCTTCCCTCCTTCCTTCCTTCCTTCCCTCCTTCCTTCCTTCCCTCCTTCCTTCCTTCCCTCCTTCCTTCCTTCCTTCCCTCCTTCCTTCCTTCCCTCCTTCCTTCCTTTCCTCCTTCCTTCCCTCCTTGCTTCCCTCCCTCTCTTGTTCTCTCTTTTTCTCCCTTTCCTTCATTTCTTCCTACATTCCTTCCTTTCTTCCCTCATTCCTTCCTTTCTTCCTTCCCTCCTTCCTTCTTCTCTTGTTCTGTCTTTCTCTCTCTCTTTCCCTTCCTTCCTTCCTTCCTTTTTTCTCTTTCTTTCCTTCATTTCTTCCCTCATCTCATTTTTTCTTCCATTCCTCCTTCCTTCCTTCTTCTCTTGTTCTCTTTCTCTCTTCCTTTCTTTCCTTCCTTCCCTCCCTCCCTTCTTTTCTCTCTCTGTCTCTCTCTCTTTTATTATTTGCCCTATTGCACTAGTTCGAGTCTCCAGTATAATGTTAGATACAAATGGTGAGAACGCTATTTTCTGTAATTCTTCAGGTGCCTCTTCCCCCAGCCTTAGCTAGTTCTTTCACATGCATATGTTGATCAGTATTCAGCAGAATGCTCACAGGAGATCCTCTCTAGATACCTAGGGTTAGTGTCTGGTACAGCTCTCACCTCCAGTACTTTGTTCTGAGAACTCCAGCTCTGGTCTTCTCAGGCTCTCGATTCCGTCTCCTTGCCTCAAAGATTCTGCTGGATTCTTCATGGGGCCTCCTCTGTACTCTGCTCTCTGTAAACTCCTTCAAGGCAGTAAGTGTGGGCAATTTTGGGGTTTACCTCATTTGTTTCCATCTCTCAGGGATTACTGTCCTTCATTGTCTGATGTACACTGGCTTGCCTGTTGTTTCATATATTGCGTCTTATTTTTATTGTTTCAAAGAGGGGTAAATCTGGCTACTGTTATTTCTTAACCAAGCAGTTATGAGTACATTGATTAGTCAGATAGTGGTCCAATGTTTACAATGAAAAAATAGCAGCTGGTATCTTCCAGGTTCCTGATGCTTGTCTCCCAGAATCAATTACTCAACGTTTTCAACTGTTTCTTCTGGAACTTAACTCCGTATTTCTACTTGCGTGTTTCCATTGTTCTTTTGTCTTTCTTTTTTTTTTGAGACGGAGTCTCACTCTGTCGCTCAGGCTGGAGTGCAGCGGCACGATCTTGGCTCACTGCAAGCTCCGCCTCCTGGGTTGACGCCATTCTCCTGCCTCAGCCTCCCGAGTAGCTGGGACTACAGGCGCCCGCAACTACGCCCGGCTAATTTTTTGTATTTTTTAGTAGAGACAGGGTTTCACCGTGTTAGCCAGGATGGTCTCGATCTCCTGACCTCGTGATCCAACTGCCTCAACCTCCTAGAGTGCTGGGATTACAGGCATAAGCCACCACACTCAGCCTCTATTCTTTTTTTAAATTTTTCAGTTTTAGCCTTTGGCTTTCTATTTGCCATCCTGCCGGTCACATTCCCATATCTACATACTTCTCCTCCCCACCCCCAATCTTCTAATTTAAGCCTGTCATAATTTGGGATTAAATATCAAATAATGTACTCCAGCCTCTGTGACAGAGTGAGACCCCATCTCAAAAAAAAAAATCAAATAAGTTTTATAGTAATATAACCCCATAAATACTGTTGTTGAGTTTTGTTATAGGTTGTAGTAAAATTAAAAATTTCGGCGCAGTGGCTCACGCGTGTAATCCCAGCACTTTGGGAAGCCGAGGCCGGCGGATCACGAGGTCAGGAGATCGAGACCATCGTGGGTAACATGGTGAAACCCCATCTCTACTAAAAAAATACAAAAAATTAGCCGGGCACTGTGGCGGGCGCCTGTAGTCCCAGCTACTCAGGAGACTGAGGCAGGAGAATGGCGTGAACCTGGGAGTGGAGCTTGCAGTGAGCGGAGATGCGCCACTGCACTGCAGCCTGGGCAACAGAGTGAGACTCCGTCTCAAAAAAAAAAAAAAAAAATTCATCTTACGTTGTATATATTTCAATTAAATCATGAAGCACATATAATTAAATTCATATATAATATGAATTGATACATAAATATCAGGGCGATATTTCTAACTTAATGCTTACTGCCTAAAAACAGTTCTTAGATTTTCAAGGGCAGAGAGCTAATTCACTTTGTTAGGCCTTGGTTCCCAATGAATGGCTAATGAATTCAATTTTATAAATTCATATATATATATATTTAAATATATATAAAATTCATATATATATATATATATATATATATATATATATATATGAATTTAAAAATCAAAGCTGCACAGGCCTCAGATCACCTAGAAAGCATTATAAGAATATATACATCTGGGTTCTAATCTGGATCTACTCAATTTGAATCTCTAGGGTGGAACCTTAGAGAATGTATTGTTCAAAACGCCCTGTGAGTCACTCCGATTCAGCTGGTCTTCTGCAGTTGGGCAATAACAGCCATCACGTCCATCTCATTTAAGACTCTCATGCTCTACCAACCAAGCTAGCCGGGCATATCAAACACATCTCATTTAAGAAGCAGCACATAGTTGTTGTAACTGTGATAACGTCTTCATCATTACTGACCTGTCAGAGCACACTAAAGTTTTGCTGTCCTGGATTTTTCTCTGACACTACACATCAGTCATAATGCGCTATGATCTCATCTGTCAACCAGCACCAAGCCATTGGCTTGTGTTTTGCCAACGACGACTGGATTATAATTGAACCTGAACTTGTAGATCTTGGGCATAATATTCACAATGCTGGAGTCACTGAACTGAAATAAGGGTCAATAGTCTCTTTTGAGAAGTCAGTTACAACGACATTGACTCAATAGCTTATGTGCCCCTATTTTTTAGTGACAGTTTGCAAAATTTTTGTTTTTTGTTAAGGGTAGCCTTGAACGCAATGTGCTGTACAAGTTACCATTAGCACCACCTGTCTTTCCATTAGCTGCTGTAGCCTAATTAGATTTATACCATATCAAGAAATATTCAAAGTGTGCAAACGTCAGAGCTTCACCCTATTTAGCCATCCATTGGGAACCAGGGCATAGCAAAGTGAATTAGCTCTCTGCCCTTGAAAATCTAGGAACTGTTTTTAGGCAGTAAGTATTAAGTTAGAAATATCGCCCTGAGATATAAACTCCAGGTCCTTCTTGGAAGATGTTGCAACCTTTCCCAGTAATCATCACAAGTGCTAATGCCAGATGCATTATTAACAAAGCATATGCACACGCTGGGAACTTTAGAACAGTAAAATTTGTCTTAATGATCAGGCAGACTCCAATATGTAAGTGACACAGACTCTGAACAGCTGCGCTGCATAATTCACCTTCATCTTACAGTTTTGAAAACGAACATGTTTGCCTCATAATCTATTGCAGATGTGAAGTAATTCCAACCATTTCAAAGCCCAGGTCTTCCATACAGTTCCTTCTTTATGGGAGTGTACCACACTTCATTAGAGAAAAACAAGTCTAAAATATTTGATTTGCAGAAATACTATAAAATCTCACATATTACATCAATCACACTTTTCAAGACTATATGGAAGCTAAGCTTGATAACATCAACCTCTGCTCCTGAAGGAGACTGTTTTGTCATTCAGAGTGCATATTAGGTGCTTCAAAATGATAAAGTTCTAAGAATTCTGTAGAACTAAGCAAACTAACCATTAACTTATTGATTCATGCATTCATTTATCTATCTAATCATTCAAGAACTTTTAAATAAGTACCTTCCACGTGCCAGGCACTAGGATACTGAGAAGTATAATGAAGAAAACATAAAGTAATAGGAAAGAGGGAAACAGGAGGGTTGGGAGGTGTATGCTACTTTAAATAGAAAAAGCCCCTTTGATGAGGCATCATTCTAGCAGAGACCTGAATAAAGTGAGGAAGTAAGTCATAGAAATATCTAGGGACTATGTTCCTGGTAGAGGAAAAAGCAGATGCAAATGTCCTGAGGCAGAAACCTGTTGTAATATTTGAGCAACAGCAAAGAGGACAGGAGAATAAAAGGGGTAGGAGATATTAGAATATGGGAAATAATTTGAATGTGAGCTTAAAGCTGAAGAGAGGCTATTTATAGGTCTTAGGCAGGGGGTAGCATGGTCTGACTTAGGACCATAGAGGATTGCCGTGAGTACTGTGTGGAGTGTTGATTCAGTGGGGCTGGGACAGGGGAGGGGTATATCAGGAGAAGTGTAGAGGCAGAAATTTGTAGCTCCTGTGATCCTTATGCCAGTGTTAAAAATCTACAGCAGATCTTCAAAGACAGGTTATATATTATTGATTTGCTGCTACAGCTGTGTTATCTTCAGAAAAACCCTACATTGCTGTAATTCAGTTGTGCAAGTATTAAAATAAAATGCACCATGTTCTAAAAGCCAGGTTTCCCTGCACTCCTTTAAGAAGGAGGAAGGTTAAAAAACAAATGAAAGTGTCTCTTTTTTTTTCTGCACATGGAGCATAAATCGTTACTTATCTAGAGTGAGTAGGAAGGTATTATTTATAAAGCAGAGTTGTTAAGTGTTATTGCACAGGTTGTCCAATATTTGATTTTATAAGAGATCTTCAAAAAAGTTTTTGGAGGAAGAGAAATAATTCTAAGTTTTGCTGAAAACACAAAAATTATTAAGTACATAATTTTTTTTCTAATACCAAATTGTATGAAAACATAAACATCTGTTTTGTAATGCAGATTCACATGCCTAATACCCAGAGGTCTGAAATAATAAATTTGGATGTGATCCAAGAATCTCTATTTTTAACCTGATGGATAGAAATGAATGGTCGGCACATACTTCAGACAATTGTCTATGATAGTTTTTCTCAATACTAAGCCTTTGGTAAAGTTTGATAATATATGTTTAATTAAGATAATGAAGTTTAGGTATTTATATTTCAGGCATTGTAGCACCTATTCAGACTGTACTTTTCTGGAAACTCCTTTCTGCTCTCCTTCTTGTCACATGGTTATTGAGGGACAGTGGTTTCCTGCAATATTATTTTATTTCTGCTTCTTCCTCTCATCCCTAGCTAGTGTTGATTGGTCCAAACTGCTGTCTTGACTCAAGCCAGGCCAATCAGAACTGTTCCTTGGAACCAGAAATTCAAGCCTCCTGGTTGAAGCCATCAGATAGAAAATATAAGAGTGTTTTATGGTACATTGGAAAGAACTGATAATCCGTAATAGAAAGGAAGTAGGCTGGGCATGGTGGTCCATGCCCGTAATCCCAATGCTTTGGGAGGCTGAGGTGGGAGAATTGCTTGAGGCCAGGAGTTCGAGACCAGCCTGGGCAACATAGTGAGACCTATGACCAATCAGCTGGTCATGATGGTGTGTACCTGTAGTCCTCAGCTACTCGGGAGGCTGAGGCAAGTGATCCTCAAGTGATCCTTTTGAGCTGAGGAGTTCAAGGATGCAGTGAGCCATGATCACACCACTACACTCCATCCTGGGTGACAGAAATTCTTGTCTCTAAACAAACAAACAAACAAACAAACCAATTACATTCTTACTCTGTACTTCAGTATCTGTACTAGTTAGCAATTGCTGTGTAACAAATTACTCCAAAACTTGCTCAGCATGGTGACTGTAGTTAATAATAATGAATTGTTTACTTCAAAGAGATTTTAAATGTTTGCATCACAAAAACAATGATAAGTAGGTGAGATGATGGATATGTTAATTGACTTAATTTAATCATTCCATCATGTATATATATTTCAAAACATCACATTGTATTCCCTAAATATATACAATTACAAAAAACTGTATTAATTTATTATCTCTGATTTCTGTGGGTCAGGAATTCAGACATGGAGTAGTGGTAATGGCTTATCTCTGCTCCATGATGTTTGGCACCTATGCTGGAAGTTTCAAAGTCTGGACACTGGAATTGTCTATATCTAATTCACTCACATGTCTGTGGACTGATGCTGGCAGCTGGCTGAGACCTTAGTTAGCTAGGGTGGTTGGTTGGAGCAACTCACGCAGCCTTTCCATGTGACCTGGGCTTCCTCACAACATGGTGGTGTAGGGTGACAAAACATCAGTGGTTTGATTGGCACTGAGGGGTTTCCCAGGACATGGGATATTTAGTGCTAAAACTGGAGGAGTCTCTGGCAAACTGAAATGACTTATTTACCCTACATGATGGCTTGGTTCCAATGGCAGTGTACCGAGAGATAAACAGTGTGTAAAATGGAAGTTGTATCTTTTTCTTTAACCTAGTCTTGGAGGTTCAATAGTATCACTTCTGTCATGCTCCATTGGTTGGAACAATCATAAACTCTAGTTTGGATTCAAGGGGATAGAACATATACTCCCCACCCCATGGCAAGACAGATGTCAGTCATGAGACAAGCATGTGGGAGTGAAGAAATATATCATTGTGGCCATTTCTGAAAAAATACAATATGTCATAAAATTTTTCTGTAAATCCCCCTTTTCCTTAGTTCAGATTGGGTTTCTGTCACTTGCAAGCAAAATAGAAATTTAAAAACCCTCACTATTACCAGTTAATAATATTTCAATGATCACTTGAGAGTTTGGGTTGGCATTTATTGATAGTTATGAATATTAAGAAGCCTAATCTAGTCCTGAACTGGTTACTCTATAAGCTAAGGGAAGTAGGCAAGGAAATACCTGCCACCAATGCCAAGGTTTCAGCCAGAAAGAGCCTGTATCTGCCTCAGCATGTGAACAAGTGTATTATGAGGGCGCTAAATTTTGTGCAATATTAATCTTGGCTGAGAAACATGACAAAGGAGCCATTACTAATTTCCTATCATAGGAAAAAAAATAAAAAGCTTGAGAATGTTCCCACTACTAGAGACTCAGAGTGGTAACCTTTCTGGTTACAATATTTACAAAATTTACCTTTAGGTAAGGATGACTGACTTACTAATAGAATATGTTTGATTATCAGTCATTTAAAAGGGCTAAGCAGGCAGTAGGGGTGAGAGAGGGGGCAGAGTTTTGGATCACAGAGGCCGGAATTTCTCCCAGCTCCCTCCCTCACCAGCTCTTTGTGATACTGACTTGCCCACCGCAGTGCTATTCCCAGGAAAGTCTGTTAGCTTGCCAGAACCTCTACTGAAGGGGAGGTTGGAAAAGGTTTATTATTATTATTATTATTATTATTATTATTATTATTATTATTAAAGAGAGAGCTGGTGGGAGAAAAGCTTTCAATGGCTTTTTTTTTTTTTTTTTTTTTTTGAGACTGAGTCTCGCTCTGTCACCCAGGCTAGAGTGCAGTGGCATGATCTTGGTTCACTGCAACCTTTGCCTCCCGGGTTCAAGTGATTCTCCTGCCTCAGCCTTTCAAGTGGCTGGGATTACAGGCACCTGCCACCATGCCCAGCTAATTTTTGTATTTTCAGTAGAGACAGGGTTTCGCCATGTTGGCTAGGCTGGTCTCGAACTCCTGATCTTAGGTGATCTGCCCGCCTCTGCCTCCCAAACTGTTGAGATTATAGGCGTAAGCTACTGCGCCCAGCCCCAGCTACTCTTCTCTCTATTGTGGGCTTCTTCTACTACCGCTACCATTCCTACCAGTTATTGGGAAAGCAAATCATGATACCCAATGTAATTGTACCTTAAGAAAAGAAAAATTTAAAATGAAATCATAAAAAAGATATTAAGATATGCATTCTTTTTTGTTGTTGTTGTTTTGAGATGGAGTTTCCTTTTGTCTCCCAGGCTGGAGTGCAATAATGCGATCTCAGCTCATTGCAGCCTCTGCCTCCCGGGTTTAAGTGATTCTTCTGCCTCAACCTCCCGAGTAGCTGGGATTACAGGCACCTGCCACCACACCTGGCAAAATTTTTGTATTTTTAGTAGAGACGGGGTTTCACCATTTTGGCCGGGCTGGTCTCGAACTCCTGACCTCAGGTGATCTGCCCTCCTCAGCCTCCCAAAGTGCTGGGATTACAGTTGTGAGCCACCGTGCCCGGCCAAGATACACATTCAAAATGTAAAATACTAAAGAAACATAGAATTTTAAATGATAAATGCTATAGAAATAAGGAAAATATTTTAAAATAACTTTAATCAGGTTTAAAAGTATGGAGTAAAACATTAAAACCAGTTAAAGTAAGAAGAAAAGGAAACATAAAATAGGTCATAACATAAAATAAAAATTAAAGTTGAAAGGCAAGAAGTTACAAAGGGAATTAAAACAGAATAAATTAGAAACAAGATTTTCTAAAACTACATAGATGTGCAAAGGTGTGTTCTCAATAATGAAGAGTAAAATTATAGCTGAAAACATTCTGTGGATACGAGTCTTAAACAAGGTCTTCCTTAGCATGGAATTCCTCTTAATAAAGAGCCCACATTAACTCGCCAGCCATTCATCCATCTAGCTCGTGTGCCTTCTTCATCTTCATATCCTTGGAGTCTGGCACACTGTAGACATAGGTGCTTAATAGTTATAGAAAAAAATGAATAAATGTTCTGTGAATGCCTTTTATTTACAAGACACCTTTTGGGAGATGTTTGCATAAATTAGCTCATTTCAGTCTCATAATAATCCCATGAATTATTTTTACCCTCAGTTTATCAGAGCGTGAGTCTTAAAGAAGGTGCGATTCTGCCTAAAATCACAAAAATAGTGTGTTAACTTTCCATCTGAGTACATTTTGGGAGTCACACACACACACACACACACGCAACACATACACACACAACAGTATTAACAAGTGGGCCTATGGCTATCACCTGTCTCATGAGGATCCCTCATTTTAACTGCACAAAGAACGTCACATTCTATTAATTCTCAGAAATTATCCAGGGACATACTGCTCTAGTCAGCTACTTCAGACTTAAATTGTCAGAAGACTATAGCAGATGGCTTCTCTATACATGCTAATATAAATGACAAAGCATTTAAACTTTGCTGTTGTACACGGACTAGCTAAACACATGAAAGCCCTTGGTACAACTTCAGAGGCTGCATGAATGCTATTACCACGTTCATGGGGTATAGAAGGAAAACTGGATTTGACTGAAGCAGAACCAAGGATGAAGGACATTGCCTCACAGTAGAGTGAAGGTGATTGGTCCTTTCCCTCCTCTGGATCAAGGATCAAATGAGATAACAGCTTGGAAGACAGTGTGCAAGAAAGGTGTTGGCTTTGGAGTCAGAAAAAAGTAAAATTGAATCCTATCTCTCCTACTTACTGGCTGTGTGACCATGTCAATTTAATTAAAATTTCTAGCCAAAGACTTAAACTTTCCATTTCCACATGGGGACAATAGAGTACTGCCTATTTCACAGGTTTCCTGTGAGGATCAAATAGGTTATCGAAAATAGAACGTATAGTTAGCATTCAGTCCACACAAGAGCATAAATAAAACAATACTTTGAAGACACTCCAGGGAAGGAGGACAAGGGAGTGTTTGTGAGTGCTTTTTCACCCCACCTCCGGGTGTACCTGGGGCACCACGTAACCTCAGCAGACCTCTGGCGACAGATGGGATGAGTTAGGAAGGACGTCATGGTAGCAAGATAGGAGTCCTATTTGCTGATCGTTTCATGTGTCAATCTCTTGTGAAATACTCAATAAGTTCCATGGAGTAATAGACAGTGTTTCATACTTCATCTGATCTCCTGAGGTGCCTCACATGGGGCTTGGCCCTGCACAGGTGCTCAATAGAATTGTTTGAATAATTATCAAGGTGTTTTGAATCTCTGGCTTAATTGCCATGTTCTTGAAAGACAACTGAAGCATGGACTAGGCTCTAGTGATCTAGTTCTGGTCCTTCCTTTGCTATCTTTTTAGTGGTGTACATTGGGTAAATCACAGACTCTCTGGGCCTCAGGTGGCTTATTTTCAAATGGATATGCCAAAAGGGACACTCAACCAGGTATTTTTATTTTGGGAGTGATCATCTATATCTTATACCTCTAAGGTTAACATACCCCTGTGTAGGAAAATCATTGCATGGACGTGAGGTGGGCTCAAATTTCCCCTTTCCTCTGCACTTCCCCAATAGCTTCCAGGGCTGTTTTGGTGTCAGAATCCTAGGAGAGAAATGTGTGTCATCTTTACTTCAACTTAATTTCACAGCTGAACCAGTGAGCCTTGAGCTCCCTGTTATAGCCAACACAGCTTTGCCTTTGGGGCAAGAATGCGCTGTTCGGTGCAACGGTGCAATGACGCTTGCTTGTGGGATCTTCTATCTGTCAGTCAGGCCTTTGACAGGAGTTGGAGAGCCGTCAATTCAAGGTTAAAGTCTCTGGCAAGGACGGGCACCCTGGGATTCGTTTTGGCTGCCTGAAAGAAAATCTTCATTTGTTGGCTATTTTCATCTTATTAGGAGTAGCTTTGGGAGAAAAGAACATATTGTCTGTGTAGAGAAGGATATTTTTCTTCTTGTTTGCCGAGGCAAAATTGTATGTATCTAGTTAATCTAAGAAATGCACAGAGCTATTAAAATGTTTGGAGGTGAACAATCCTTTGAAAATTAAATTAGCAATATTCATATACAATAAATAGGACTAGTTATCTAAAGGAGAAATCATCTGTAAAGGTATAAAGAGCTGAATTTTTATTGATTGATCGATTGATTAATTGACTGAGACAAGATCTTGTTCTGTTGCCCAGGCTGGAGTTCAGTGTTGCAGTCATAGCTCACTGCAGCCTCAACCTCCTGGCCCAAGCAATCCTCCTATCTCAGCCTCTGGAGAAGCTGGGACCACAAGCGTGTGCCACTTTTCCTGGCTAATTTTTAAATTTGTTTTTGTAGAGATGGAGTCTCCCTATGCTACCTAGGCTGGTCTCCAACTCCTGCACTCAAGTGTTCCTCTTGCCTCAGCCTCCCGTAAGTTATAAATTAGTAAGTATACTCCTAATACATTACATGTATTTTATTGGAGAAAGACTTTGAAAAGTTACAAACATATACATTGCAAAAATGGTAATTGACCCATCATCAGTGAGCCAACAAAATCTGACATGACCAAACTCTATTGATAAATGGCAACTTATGAGACCTTTGGCCATAGACAACTGGTCTTATCTTCCTAATCATCTGTGTTATATGCCATATTATTTAAAATTTCAACAAAACTAGAAAAAAAGAGTAAGTAATGGCTCTGATTCATAAGAATGGTAATATGATAAATTAGGAAATCCTGCACGTTTTTTTAAAAAATTATTTTTAATCTTTATTTTAAATTTGGGGTACACATGCAGGTTTATTACATGGATATATTGCATAATGTGAGATTTGGGCTTCTAGTGTACCCATCATCCAAATAGTGACCATTGTACCCAATAGATAATTTTTTCAATTCTCACCTGCTCCCAACCTTCCCCCATTGGAGTCCCCACTGTCTATGGTTTCCATTTTTATGCACCCATTGTTTAGCTTCCACTTGTAAGTGAGGACATGTAGTATTTGATTTTCTGTTTCTGAGTTATTTCGTTTAGGATAATGGCCTCTGGCTCCGTCCTTGTTGCTGCAAAGGACATAACTTCATTTTTTATGGCTGCATAGTATTCCATGGTGATATATACCACATTTTCTTTATCCAATCAACTGTTGAGGGACACCTAGGTTGATTATGACTTTCCTATTGTAAACAGGATCCTGAACATTTTTATTCTAGTAGAGTTCATAGAATCAAATGCTGATGACAGATTGTTAACATCCAAAAATCTTATTCCTCTTTACCTATTTCCTAAGCAAAGTGAAAAGGAATGGCAATACTTGCATGTTTCTGATATAGGATACTATATTAGGAGATCAGGAACTTCAACTTTTTAGAAAAAGACAGTGTATATTTTGATGGGGTATCTGGCAATCTAATGAGTCTATAGATACCTTTACCATACAGAAGAAGCTGCACTTGAGAATCAACTAGAATACGTAGTTTAACAAAAAATGAAGCCCAACATCCAGAACAAGAGAAGCAAAATATCTCCTTCTGGAATCTTTCAACAAGTCTCCTGCAGTAACTAAAAAATTCAGACACATTGTTCTGAGTCATGAGAAATAACTCTTATACATCAATGGAAACCTGTCTTACACATTTTTTAAAAAAGAAAGGTTTTTACATTTATTAAGAATAGTATTACTATGTTTGAGGCTGTCTATTCAGATCTGTCATACTTTGGATTTTTTTCAAGAAATAGAAGACTTAAGAAATAATATTAATTTCATAAACTTCAGGATGGTTTCTTCTATGTCTTGCTAGAAATGCAAAAACAAACATAGTGATTTCTCCATTTGGAGCTTGTCTAGCTGTTCCTTTTCTCTTATATGAATACATATTCCTGCCTTGTAGATCTTATAGGAAATTTTTGAGACAAAATTTTAATTTTTAGATCAAACATAACTGATAGACTAAGCAAATATCACATAGATCCCAAGTACAAAATAATACAAATATTATGATGATTTTTTAAAATTACTTGCTTAAGCAGCAAATTGGAAGTTTGCATATTCCCAGATAAATTTGAATCTAGCTTAAAAGTCAATGTTGATATTGATAATCAACTTTCACTTGAATGAATATTAGGAAAACTGACAATAGTGTCTCTCTTGGTTTTGCTTAACTGGCATGGAAACTGCCCATAATTGTTTAACACATGCCATTGTCATCTCCCATGAGGTTCTATCCCAGGGATGGTAAATTTCTGACATATGACCATTTTGTAGTCGTTGCATCAAAGCATTTTTTTCCTGTTGAGCCTAGATGTGACCTGAGAATCTTCTTCAACACACTTGAATCTGCCATTGTTGGCTGATTGGCATTTATATATATATATAAAGATGAAACTTATTTGCCCTCTCTGACAAAGCACAAAATGTTCTTGCATTTTTATTTAAGCTGTGGTTACTTGAATATTTAGTTATTTACAATATAATTGTGAGCAGATGGCAGCCTACAAGTTATCCACTTATCCTGTGTGAAAGGAAGTAAGATCTTGTTTGCAGATTGCTCCTCGTGGGAAGTATGATGATCAATGCTTAGACACTTTCCATTTTTCAATTTTATGAATGACCTCCTTGCAGAATGCCAATGCAGTGCTTATGTGTTATGGGGTGTCAAATCAATTAGAACAAGTCAGAGAGATTTGTGAACAGACACTAATTTGCTGACATTTCAGTGACTTTTAAAAAATTGACTTAAATTTAACAGCAAGGTCACTAACACAAAATGACTTTTTTTTCTTGTTAAAAGAATAAAATCTGAGTATTGCATAAAAAGTAACTTCAGAAGGTCTAGGATTTTGGAAAACTTTCCCAGGGCCTTTTTGACAGACATATGTGTTCACAGATAGACGTATTTAATTATATCTGTTGTATTTCCCCTCCAGATTTTAAAATACTAGGAAAACCACTGGGTCAGGTGTGAAGCCAATGCCTACGTAGAACCTGAAGTTTCATTTCTGCTCAGTTACCTGACTATAAAAATTTTCTCTGGAGTAATATGTGAGGCCCATTTTAAACCTAGATGACTTTTGTATCAGTTCATTCTCATACTGCTATGAAGAACTGCCTGAGGTTGGGTAATTTATTAAGGAAAGATATTTAATTGACTCACAGTTCCACATTGCTGGAGTGGCCTCAGGAAACTTACCATCATGGCGGAAAGCAAATGAGAAGCAGGCACCTTTTTCACAGGGCAGCAGGACGAGTGAGTGCAAGCAGGAGAAATGCCAGATGTGTATAAAACCATCAGATCTCATGAGACTCACTCATTATGAGAACAGCATGGGGGAAACTGCCCCCATGATTCAATTACCTCCACCTGGTCCCACCCTTGACATGTAGAGAATATGGGGATTGTAATTCAAGGTGCGATTTGGGTCGGAGCACAGAGCCAAATCCTACCAACTTGTGTCTGTTTATTGCTCCGTATTGGAGTCAATGGGTTAATAAAATCATTTCTAGATAAAGTATGTGTAGGAATCAGTCATGGAGAACATGTATGGTCATACCCCATGAGACTGAGATTATATTGCTAAATACCATAATTGAGTCTGATTCTACTAAAATAGCATTAAGGTGCCAATCATGTTCAATTTTTCCCCCACTTTCAATGTATGATAATTAAAAAGATAAGATTTAATTCTGAACGATGACTGCCTCAATGCAATTATTCTAGTTCCAATGGCTGAATAGATGCTGCTCTACAAATATAGACAGCAGAGAATCAAATCCACCAACCTTTCAGTCACAGATTAATAGTTAATATTTGTAATATAATTTAGATCTGATTCAAATTCTCAGATTACTACAATCTTATAATAGTTTTGTTTAGCTCTGGACAAAGCTTTGTATCGGTATGAGATAGCATAAGATATATTTCCTTTTAGGAAAAATTTAACTTGCCAGGGTTATGTCTGTTCCTGTGGAATAATTATCCCAATTTCTTATATTCTGGGAAAAGTGACACTAAGCAAATGGCTAAATAGCACTATTTCATTGGATAAGTAGTCTAAAAATATATTTTAGAGTTTATTTTACCTTCCAAAACTTTTCTGAAGCCTATAGGAGAAAAAATCCAAGAAGCCGTGTTTAATTTTATTAGTTTTTTTGGACAACCTTTAAACATTAGTCCTTAATTCTTAGATCTGGGGAATCCTAGTCTTTTTGTCTGTATGCCTTCAAATCTAAATTCATTTAGTCCTTCCTCATTACTCTAGGCAAAATGATCTAAATGCTAACCCTTTGTTGTCAACTGCTGATTTATCTACGTATCAACATTGGCTTCCCTACCTCCATATCTCTACCAGAATACCCATCTCTGACCTGGGCTTCAGCTCCAGCAGTAGCAATGGCTGCAGGAGTGAATGGTGTCTTGAACACTCTACAAATGATGGCAGTGAGAGGAATACATTAGGAATGAAGCTGGAATTTTTGCCATCAAGAAATTCCCATCTTTTAAGGAGACAAAACATAAATAGAATCTACTTACTGCCTGCAAAACCACACACGTGTGCACAGATGCACACACACACAATACAAATTGAAAACCTAGATGAGTATATATATCTGAGTATGAAGATGAATATCAACCTTTACTTTTAGATGCCAGAACAAATTTTATAGTATTACATGTACACACACACTCTGATAGTGTCTCTCTCTTTGCAAAAGTTACAAGGATTAAGCTGCCTGTTGCCACAGTGAGATCCTTCATTATAATTATTTCATTAACTTTACATGATGTACAACAATAAGCTTATCTGTGTATTGTTACATGTTTTTGTAATTAAAACTCCATCAGACTTGTCAGAATAAATGAACAGAACTTATTCTGCCTTATATAAGATCCTTTATTTTTAATTTTTTTTTGTTTCTTGCACTTTTATTGAAACACAACTTCACAACCTAGAGTGAAGATAGCCCAACTTAGTTTCTGGCACAAAATTCACACTGAATATTTGATAAATGAAATAAAATAAAACCCCCAATATGCTTGATGCTTTATTGATGGTCCTGGATGAGATGAAACACTGTATTCCACCTTCTCCATTTCCTTGTGGTGGTCTCATAATTTCAACTAGAACTTGGAGGAGAAGTAGAAACCAAGCTAATGAGAGTCCCATAAGCAAGAAGGAATGACCAGGGAAAACACTCCAAAATAACTGAGGTTTCCAGCTTCCTGGGGATTGATATGTTGGGAAATTACACAACTAAAAGATACTTGAGTATACTGTAAAGCTTGACTAAGCTCACCTTAATCACTATACCATGCAAATACAGGAATCAAAATGCCATTGTTCAACTATACTGATCTCTGACATGTATCTTGTCTTTTCTCTTAATTACATTTATATTTTCACTGAATGTTCTTTGAAAATCCATTTGTGCCTTAACAGTGAAACTTAATTTGTGCAATTGAATTGTCATGAAAACATTACTGCTTCTTTCTCTTTGCCTCACTGTTATAGACTGTTGGGATAAAAAATAAATAGCAAATGGCATTAAAAAGCTGTGGTTGAGAAAAAAAAAGCATAGGCCTGAGTTCTAATCCATTTACTTCCATTAACCAGCTAGAGATATTGGATGAGTCTCTTCTTTAGCCCCTCCCTCCTTTTTAATTATATTTTTGTTATCAGTTTTTCAAGAATTTTCCTACTTCAATTATCTTTTCTCTCAAACATAATCAATCCCTATGTCTCCATGGGGTCATTCCTATATGTTTGGATATTTCCCATCTTAATTTAAAAAAATGAAATGAAAACTTACCATGTCATCATATCCCTCTAGTCAACATCCCTCCACCCAAACTGCTAGAAAAAATTGTCCATATAACTTGTTTCCCCTTTTCTTTTCTAATATGGCTTCTGTATTTATTATGCCACCAAAACCACATCAATGAGTATCACTGCGACTTATGTGTTGCCAAATGCAAAAGATACTTTTCTAGACTGATAAACCACCTCGCTGTGAAACATTTTCCTATTAGGCCATTCTAGCATCACATTCTTATGGTTTCCTCTTACCAGTAGGCCATCCCTTGTCAGTTTCCTTTATTAGCTTCTCCCTTACACCTGAACTCCCTCCCTAGATAATCCCACCCCTTTCCATGGCTATGTGAACACTTGGGCCCTGGTTCTTACTCTTTCCCAAGTTCTTACTCTTTCCCAAGAGCCTCTTTCATAAGTCTTTGAAATATCAACAGATTTTTTTTTCCTGTGGAGCCAAACTGTAAGTCAACACAGCTTCCAGCCCCATCAATAGTGGATCATTGCAACTTCCAGTACATTGAGTTCTCAACTGCAGAGGTGGCAACATTAAGTGGTGAAGTGTGCAGACTCTGCTTCTCCTGTGATATTGTGAGATTCTTGAAAGCAGGTATAGTTTTTACATCTTCTGTATTTTTGCCCCTACCCCTTACGTTCCAGCACCTAGATGAGTACCCAAATGGTGTTCACAATATGTTGACTTATTTGTAAGTGAACAATTCATGAGTGCTATGGTTGAGAAGACATTTTCTCTGCAGGCTGTGATGAAAAACATTGCACTCATTCAAAAGATTCAACTAGCACTAAGGACAGTAGAGAGACACAATGGTTATTAAGCAAGCAAACATTTAATTTTTTAAAATATAGAAAACAGAATTAGAGAGGCTGTTAGCACGGTGTTACCTTTCAAAGAAAAATATTCTTGGGGCTCCAGAATGTAGCATGAATGTAGCAAGAATGAAGAGAACTTGTGCTGCATAGCCATTTTAAAAAGAATATATTTGAAGCTAGAAAATATTTATAACTATACAGAATTGTTTAATGCCATAGGGGTTAAATGTAGCATTTAGCATTACATTATTACATTTAACCTCTATGGCATTAAACAGTTCTATATAGTTATAAAGTTTTCTAGCTTCAAATTTATTCTTTTAAAAATGGCTATCCAGCACATTTTCTTCATTCTTCTTTAGAACTCTTGGAAAATTCTTCAAGGATCTGAGAAACTGTGTGCCCAGTGGGTAAAGAGAAACCTAAATAAAGATGCATATTGGGCCATCGTTGTAGTTTGCTCTGGTATCAGTGGGGATGGCATGTGCTAAAGAAATGCAGGCTGCTATTATGACACAAAGCTGGGCTGTATGATGTCGCGTTAAGCACTTGGCATCAGGAGAGTTTGATCTCATCTGAAGTGTGAATAGGATTGGTGAAAGAGTGAAAGAGTGTTGTGTGCTTTTGCTGAGTTTAGGATGGTGTCAATTGTGCCTCAGGAGAAGAGTTTAGACATTCTGTCCTGATGAATGTAATCAAGTCTTTATTTCATGGTTTCTCTTAACGCAAATACGTACAGGTTCATATTCGTCGATGAGGGTGAGAGGAAAACTATCGCCAACAGAAAGAATCCAGATAGGAAGAGAGAAAAAGAAAGACCAGAGATGGTATACTGTGGTGGTTAAAGGCCAGAGACTGGGGAAAAAGTGGTTATGGGTTTAAAGTCTGCCTCCAGCATTTTCTTGCTCTATAATTTTGGAGAAGTTACCAAAAATCTCAAAACCCAAGTTTTTTTGTAAGATATCTACATTTCAGACTTCTTGTGAAGACTAAAAAAGATAATGTAAGCACAAGGCTTAGCACAGTGCAGATACAATAAGGGTGCAATAATTTGTAATTTGCATATGTCTTTATTCAAGAAAGTATTGGTCCAAAGAAAAAGCATCTGTTTATCTAATGGTTTATTTTATCTGCTAAAAGTGCTTTTCTTTCATTTCTGGCTGAGACCTCCTTGGTCCTATTTCTCCCAGGATTCTCCAATTCTAATTTTTGATTCTCCATGATTTTCTCTGATGGGCCATCCCTCCTATATTTAGATGAGATAATACATGAGACACATTTAGAGTAATGCATGGTTGGAGAAAAGTGCTCTATAAATGGTAGGCATACTATTAATTGTCATTTCCATTCATCTTGCAGGATTTTGTGTCCTTTTTAAAACAGCCTCAATCACCTGATTCCTCCCTGCCACTTCTCTGCAAATGATAGAGTTCACACATCTATAATTCTCTCATAGGTTCATGTGGGCTGCTCCTCATAACCCTGCTCAAACACTACTGAGGCATCAGGATCTTCAAGATTCATGTGAGTCGCCTCTCTCCCACGGCCTGCTCCTCTCTTGGCTAACTGGCCAGTTCTCTGGTTTCTCTGGGAATAACAATTGGGCATCTCCGTATGAATGTCGTTTATAGTTCCTTGCCTTGAACCTTGGTGAACTCCTGACCTGGTACCTGGTGCCCAGATTTCATGTCTGACTACTTTGTTTGCTCCAGGGGAATGCAGCTTTGAAAGTAGTGCCATGAATCAAATTGAGTTCAAAACCATGAAACAGAGGGTGTTGTTCAGATATTCATTATGGCAATTTCAGTCCTATTTGGTGCAAGAATGCAAATGCTCCCTGAGAGAAAAGCATCCCAGGCAGAATTAGTGTTTCATGCTAGATATCAGCAAGTCCATATACATAAAAACTTTCTCATTCTTATTTTTTATTTTCACTGAGAGCTATTTCGGGAGAGTTTATTTAAAATCTCACATTCATACAAGCGACTGTTAAAATGCAGCATGGCAATTTAAGGGGACCATAAGTGAACACATCTTTCTGACAACTTCATCATATTCACCTTGACAAGATTCAGAAAAGTGGGAATGTATACAATGTAGAATACACAAGGCAGGAAAATATTAAGGAGAAGAAAAGAAGACTGAAGAACCTAGCAGTTGGGAGGCGATGAGGTCAAAAGAATAATGGAAAAATATATTGGGGGTGGGGGTGGGAGAGACATATAAAAAGAATATTCTTAAAGGGAAGAACAAAAACAGGAGAGCTAAAATCTAAAAGTGTGTTTGTGTGTGTGTGTGTGTGCGCACGTGCCCACATGCTTTGTCCATAGATGTAAAGTATAAGATTTAAAGTAGATTCAGTATTCTAATTTAATGAGACAGGAGAGGTACAGAATAAAGAAAAGGTTAAGAGTGGCTGTAGGAGTTACTGAGCTTAATTTGAGCTTCATAATTATGTATGTATACTGTTATTTCTAGTCTTTCAGAAAACATATGCAGTGAAATTCCCATACAGTGCTTTTGCAGACTGTGGCTTTTTTCTGTTTGCATCTCCCCCTCCTCTTTACTTTTTAATTGTGTTTATACAAAGTAGGTTCTAATTTCCGCCTAGAGCAACACAGTTCTCTGCCTCAGCTATATTTTGCGAAATATAAACTAGAGAAGGGGTGGAGGGGTATTGTGCTAACCTTGAAAAGCCTGTCAGCATGTTCCCTTCCTAACTCAACTGGCCAGATGCCTAATGGGAAAATGAACATGGAAGAGGAATTCAGTGGCATATTTAGTCATGTAATGCTATAATTCTCCTGCCCAGAATAATGTGAAATATTTGGATGAGAGGTCAAAATGCAAGATTAAGAAGACAAAATTGTGTATTTCACACATTTCTCAATATTAAGTGTTTGTTCTCAAGGATCAAATTTTTGTAGATAAAGGAAATGAAATAAAGGAAACTTACATCTCAAGAGAGCATTCATAATGATGTGCTATACCTTGGGATATAGTTTTTACTCCCTAACCCACTCATTTGATTCTCACAACAATTTTTGAAGGTTTGCACATGAGAAAAACCGAGACTCGGTTTTAAGAGGTTAGGCAACTTATCCAAGTCTCAGAAGGAAACTGAAATCCAATTTGGTTTGAATCTCACATTTTAAATTCTACTTTTAAACTTTCTTGGTTAAAAAAAGTATTTCAAAATATGGGGAATGTATCAGAAATGGCAGGATTCAGAAATCACTGTAGTTTTTCTGCCCTATATATTTAATCAGGATGAAAAGAAAACCAAAAAAAGTACCTGTTCGAAGCATTTGTCATTCATTATTTTGAGGAAATCTTGGAGTAAGATGTCCAGGTTTGAAAAAATATTTGCTATTTTTTCTGTTAATGACAACATTGCTATTTAGCTAAAAAAGGAATTTTGGAAAATGTAGAAAATTATGGAGAAAATAAAAATCACTAGGAAGCCCACTATATTAGTCAGAGTTTATGCTAGCTGCTATAATAAAGTCACCCCCAAATTGAGTGAATTAAAGATTACAAAAATTAATTTCTCTTTCATATTAGAGTCCTGAGTGTATTTTAAATTGGGTAGTAGTTTCTTCATTTTCAATGTGTCTTCCAAGTTTATTCTAGCCATCAACATTCCAGCCAGCAGGAAGAGAGAAAAGAACTCTCGTGCAAAAATTTATGGGCAAACATCTCTTCTACTCACTTCCGTTTTCAGAAGCAAAACCATGGTCCATCCTAGACACAGGAAAGTACAGTCCCCAGATAATCTATTCTTCCTCTAGTGCTGAGGGTGGTGTCTTTTCTCATTTGGACTGCTACAACAAAATATATTAGACTGGGTAATTTATAAATAACAGAAATTTATTGTTCATACTTCTGGAGGCTGGGAAGTCCAAGATCAAGGCAACGACACTTTCAATGTCTGGTGAGATCTTGCTCTCTACTTCCAAGATGGTGCTTTCTTCCTGTGACCTCATGTGTTGGAAAGGCAAGGCAGCTCCCTTCAAATTCATTTATAAGGACACAAATCTCATCCCCAAAGACCCCACCTCTTAATATTATTATTACATTGGGTATTAAGTTCAAATGAATCAACTCTGGGGGAAACACCAACATTCAGATCATAGTAGATAGAATAAATTTCAGATGAAAATTAGCTCCATCCACAAATAACTATTATTATATTTTATTTGATATCCCTACAGAATCTTAGTATGAATACCCATATATACATGATTTAAAAACAAAATATCTGCTGTTTTGTAACGTGCTTTTTTTCATTAAGCAAGAATATTGGCAATACTGTCCCATGTCATTAAATATTCTGGTATAACATCACTGAAATGTGGCATAAATATTCCATTATCTGGATGTCACATATTTTATTCAACCAAACACCTGTAATTTTCCCCAGTATTTCACTAATATAAAAGTGAGGTGGATGACTTTATATAAAAATCTTTCTATACATCTCAGACAAATTCTTAGAAGTCAATAGGTAAGAAATTGCTAATATATATTGCAAATATGCCCTAGAAAGATAGTATCAACTCATTGTCCTATCAGCAACATTTCCCAGTAAAAATATCCGGGACTTAAAAATACAAGAATCACCTACCCTTGACTTCTTTAGCACAATTATCTCCATTATTATAGAAATGCTTCAGACTAGGCCTCTGCCTATGGACATTAGTCATTCCAAAATATTTACTTCCTTCTCTGACACTTCCGTGGAAAAAACATGCTTCACTACCTCCTTGAGTTTGGGCTTGGCTATGTGGTCAGGGCTTGCCTGGTTGTGCAGCCTCTCGTTTCTCTCACGTTGCCATGAGTTAATTTTCCCCTGGAAAGCATTTAATTGAAGAAGGATGAAGCCTCAGGCAGACTTAGGTGCAATCAGCAGCTTACAGCTGCCCAGCCAAGCCCAGCCTAAATCAGCCAGATGTGAATGAAATCAACACCTCAATGTTGTATGACACTGAAATTTTGTGGTTGTATATTTTGCAACAATGGCTGTCTGATACTCTGGTAACACCCATGAGAAAGGAACTGACCAGCATCTGGGGCAGGCTGCTCTGTCCCTGGCTCTTCACACCTTTCCTTTGATCTGTCTGTGTAAGTGATTGCTCCTTAATTTCCAGGTGTCAGCAGGTGATTTGTGCTAAAGTTATTATCCTAGTTTTGCCATTTCAGTCTTACATGTTTTTACATTTTTACTTTCTCTTTGTTCCAAACTTCAGTCCCAATCCAGTGCAAGAGGCTAATAGAGTGTGGAACAGCATTTGGCTTCTAAAATGTCAAAGTATAATGAGAAAAGGAAAACAATTATTAACAGAACTGGTCACAGACACCCATGGGTTGCATCCTTTTATCCCACACATTGTAAAGGCAATGCAGTGAGGTTATCAGCAGAGCCTAAACATCAGATGCATGACTTCAGTGGAGAAGCTGTGATACAGTTTCTTAAACGCTTAATAAAAAGGACAAGTTTAGTAAAAAACAAAACAGAACAAAACAACAAGAACCATATGCAGCTTAATTAACTCTTGTGGATAAATCCCAAACATTTTATTCTAGGGACTGATCAAGATCCTTGTTTTAGGGACAAATTTTTGTATTTTCAACATTTTATTAACTCATGGAACTTCTGCAAAACCATTCCACAGATAATGATCTCAAGACTATACTGCTTAACTGAGTCAATCAACATTTATCAGCCATGTGCAGGAATATCTGTTAAAGACCAGGAATCCAAAGACCCATATGCATGTTTCCTGTGCTCAGCAAGTTTACAACCTAGCAGAAGAAAAGAGACACGACATATAAATCGGTCCACTTTAGAAGTGCTGTGACTGACCTATGGACAAGGTGCTAAGGGAAGAGGAACGACGTAAAGCCAGGCTTCAACCCAGTACCCTGTCTCCCATTCTATCAAACCACACTGCATTTTACATATTAGACCTTTTTAGTTTCATTTTCTGCTTTGCCTGGCTTCTTGCCACCAAGTCATATACTGTCATCCCCGTTGTTTTTCTACGTAACCCACCTCCTTTTTTTTTTCAAGACGGCATTTCACTCTTGTTGCCCAGGCTGGAGAGCAATGGTGCGATCTCGGCTCCCTGCAACCTCTGCCTCCCGGGTTCAAGCAATTCTCCTGCCTCAGCCTCCTGAGTAGCTGAGATTACAGGTGCGCATCACCACACCCAGCTAATTTTGTATTTTTAGCAGAGGTGAGATTTCACCATGTTGGTCAGTCTGGTCTCGAACTCCTGACCTCAGGTGATCCTCCCGCCTCAGCCTCCCAAAGTGCTGGGATTACAGGTGTGAGCCACCGCGCCTGGCCCCCACCTCCTTTTAAATAAATAATTTCGAACTTCTGTGACCCTCTTGGTAAAAAAGTCTCTATCAGTCTCCATTCTTTACATTTTAGCCTCAACCCTGGTTCCTCTTTCTGGTAAGTTTGCAGAGGTTGAAATCCCCTACATAAAGTGTGCAGGACTTTAGAAATTTTCAGTGGAGTTTTGCCCTATAGAGAGTTGTTTTAAAGCAAACATCGTTTAGAAGTAGCTAAAAGAGCCTATTACATTATTACCAGTCTGAGACAAGAGAAGATTATTTTTTGTTTATGTTAATCTAGATCTCAGACATGCTATGAACGTGAATCCATGATAGCAAATCCAACTGAGAAGAAAGCAACTTGTCAACTCTGTGCCTTCCTCACCAAGGAGCTCTTTTCTGCAGCAAAATTAGAGATCATTAATTATTAGTCTCATTTTCCTGATGGTGATACTGAGACCTTATAAGAGGAAACTGATTAAAGACTATTCTATGAGTTATGAAATAGTCAAGGGCACAATCTGCTAATTGGTTGTGTAAATTATACTTTTTGGTAAATACAAAACAGTGTTATCCAAAACAGTCATCTATCAACAGGATCATCCAGGGAACATTTTATAAATGATTCCAGGCCTCTCTTCACCCTTTAGAAATGGTGATCATTACAGAGCAGATCCAGAATCTCTATATTGTTGTTAAGAAGTCCCTCAGATGATTTTAATAATCAGCCTGCCCAGGGTTGCTTTATAGAATATTTCTTGGGAACATTATAACTCTTGAAACATTGAATTCTCACCTTCTTTAAATTCTCTCCTTTAACTTCTAGTCAGAATAATGACTATGATTCTTGTTTCTTAGACCACAGTACTAGTGGAAAACTGAGGCTCATAAATGCTTAAGATCCAGGACTCAGCAGGATTCAAGGTTTTGGGGACCAATGTGTCTCACTGTCAATGACAGATTTTGATTTTGGTCTTCCATGACTATGTGTATAATCAGGAAAGGAGGTAACTTCGTGGTCCCTTTCCTTCCCAGGAAGTCCTGTGGAGGGCTTCTGTGCTGGAAAATTCCAGGTGGCACCACCCATATGTCACTAAGTGTTCTGTCTCTTGAGAGCTTTAAAGTATCTCTTCTCCATTGTAGCTAATCATGCTTGCTACCTTCACTTTCTACATATAGGCTGCATGAGTTTTTGACCTTTGAAGTTTGCCTTGCTCTTCTCAAGGTTACAATTACTATTTTGGGGGGATCTAAATCAGCACTCAAAGAGTGGGGGGGAATTCATTCTACGACTTCTTTTTCCCAAAACATTTTGATCCATTATGGGTTTGGGTATTGACTCACTAAGCTTCCCTTCATATAGAATCCATTGCCCTTCTTGCAGGTGTCTGAGGCTTAACATAGGAAACCTAGCTCTAAACTAGCTTGGCATGTGACTCGTAGGTATACTTTCAAGAACAGTGCCTTACTTACTAAGACTCCTGACAACCTGCCCTGAAATTTCATAGTTACTAGGGTGAGCATATAGAGCCTTGTGCTTCCTTTGAAGTCATGTATGTGCATGCACACACGCACACACATATATGCACAGATAAAAAGGTGAAAGATTTGAAGGATTAGGAGTTAGGGCCAGGGAGGAAAGAAACAATATAAAAATAGAATACAAGTATTACCTGGGTTGCTCAATGTGGAATCTTTGATCACTAGGCAACACATACCTGTAAACAGGTGCTGTTGAAATTACAAAAGAAATGCGTTCTCAAGAAATTTACCAGATTTGGCAGTATTAACACATCTAAAATAGTATGAAATCATGTAATGCAGAACGAAATTAAGTGCTAAAATATGTGGAAAACTATAAAAAAGTGATTTAGGATTCTATTGCATTGTCTGCCCCTGTGTCATAAAAAAGAAAACCATAACAAAGCACCACCACACAAAACACGCAAAACTTGCTCGACTGGGTCATGCCACTTTACTAAAATGCCATCTTTCTCTTTGCTAGGGATTATTTTACTATCTTCTCTCTTTTCTTTTTTGTTTTAACCTAGCAGCTAAGCATAACAAATGTAGAAAAACTAAATAGGAAAGTGGGAAAGCTGCCTCTCTTATTTTAGAGCTTGACAAGATGTGTTAGCTTTTACATTTTGAGCTCTGTAGGATGTCAGGCACTTCAGAGCAGGGGTGGCATCTATCTTTATGGTGCTAGATGCACAGGCATCCTATTTGGATGAAATCATCCTTTGTTTCATTTTTTTAAAAAAATAGAGTTTGTCAAGGTCCCCAGAGTTCCTTCTAAAGAGGCAATATGTCCTCTATTTTCATCTGCAATTCTGGGCACCCCACTGCAGAGCAACGTGCTGCTGACTGCAGAGTGGCCTCCTGCATGAGCCTTTGTGTGCTCAAGCTTCAGAATGTTCCTGCCATTTGAGAGCTCATCATGCCTTTTCCTGGGGGCCTCCAGGGACATAGCAGTGGGAATGCACATGTCCTGTTGTCCCATGCCACTTGTCGTCACCAACAGAAGCTCTCAAATGCCCATTTTTTTGTGAGGCAGTGGTTGCCATGGCTGCCCATGGGAATCGCATGGGGAAGCTTTAACAAACACTGAGGCCTGAGACCCATCTGAAGATCCTGACTTAATGGATCAGTGGTACAGCATGACTATTGATCTTTAAAGTCTCCTTGGGTGATTCTAATATTCACCTGATGTTGAAGGACACAGGGAGGAATAAGATTGAGACTATCTGTGTTGTGGTAGTTAACATGCAGGTGAGGTTAAAATAGAGGAACTTTAGAAGGAATTGTGCCAGAACGTGCACATTCAAATTGGAGTTTCTGGGAATTGTCTTTAGGGCCTACTTTACATTGTCATAAACTTCTGTGTGGGGACCAAACTTGGTGCTTTAAAGTTGAAGATGAGCCTTGGCAATAGCAAGTGATTGGGGTAGAGGCTCCACCGAATTATTTTTAAATCTAATAATAGAAATGATTATGAAGTGAGGCGACTGGTTTGTTCCACTCTATTCTCCACCCATCTGCTAGAATTATCTTGCAAAATGTAAATCAGATTACATCACTCCTCTCTTTGAGACCTTCCAATGGCTTCCCATCAGAATGAAATCCAAAGTCTTATCAAAGCCTCTGGCCTCTGTGCCCTACACAGTAATGTGGCTTTTCCCCATTGCACTGACCTCATCTCCTCCTGCTCTCCCTTTTAATACATGTCAGCCAGATAGGTCTCCTTTCTATTCTTTGAACTTGCCAAATATATTTCCACCTCAGAGCCTTTGTACTTCCTGCTCCCTTTATAATGCGCATTCTCTCAAATATCCAAGTGCCCTTCTTGTTATTCAGGCCTCGGTGCAAATGTCAAATCTTCAGAGAGCTTTTTTCTCTCCACTTTATCTATTCTAGTCACCCTTGACTATGTTATCTGTTTTATTGTTTTCATAGCACTTACTGCTTTCTGAAATTAACTAATTTATTAGCACATGTGTTTGTTGTCTATCTACCCCCACACCCAAAATGTAAGCTCCTGATGACCAGCACCCTGGTTTGTGTTGTTCATTCTTATATCACCAATACCTAGAATAGTGAGTGCCTTGTATGTAGTAGGCACAGAATAATTACTGTTGGAAAAAAGAAATGAAGGAAGGAAGGGAGAAAGGAAGAAAGGAAATGCAGAAGGAAAGACGGAGAACCAGGAAACTAATGAGTTCTTGATTATCTCATCTCTAGCTTTCCAAATATGTACTTAACCATCTGCGTGTGCATGTACCTTGCTTATCCCCACAACCAACAAATCTGGGTGAGATGGATCCCCATCCCTCTACAGTCTTGATGATTCCTTTTCTAGAGCTGATACTCAACCATTTTAGTAACGGTTTGAGAGCAGAAGCCTCCCTGGGAGGAAGCAAGGGTTCCTAGGAGAATCAGGGAAAGCAGTAACCTTAAGCAAGCTTTTGTCAAGTTCAAATATTGGATTTGGTAGTAGAAACTAAGTCAATAATGGACTACCGAAACATCTCAAGAGTCCATATAGGTTGTAGAGACTCTATATGCCCAAAATGTACACAAAATTTCTGAAACAAGAATTTAGGAAAAAAGGGAATCCTATGTGTGAAATTTGTGCTACAGGTATGCATGATAACAGTTACCATCTATTGAATGCATAAGTATGTGCCAGCACTGAGCCCGTTTCCTCTGAGACTTAGAGTGTATATTAAGTCCATATAGAAGGACTTGGAGAAAGAAGAGGCCACACAATTTAGGCTGTACAAACCAACATTAGAGTCTCTTATCTCTCCCAAGAAGTGGTTCTCAATCATATTCACAAGGAGAACCAACAAATTAGAAGGTACTATACATAAAAGAAGCTTATAGATGAAATAGTTCGCGATCACACGTGCACAGTTTGGTTGCAAAAATTCAGTCCTCCTCCTCTTCCTCTCTCTTTCTCTCATATTAGATCATCTGGAAAGATGAAGGTGAGCTAAAAGAAAGATTATTTGCCCCCATTTGAATAGGAGAGCAAGTTGTCTCCTGGGACTTCTAGTGGTGCGGTTCTATGCTCATATTTTCAGAATAGTACACTGAACAAACTTTCTGATTCAGTAACGAGAACACCTGGAGCCACCTGGCATCTACTTTTCAAATCTTGGTATTTATGAATATTTACATTTTTTTTCAAATCAATGTAGCTCTACCCAAGACTCTCAAGTGTCCCACGCATACAGATGGTTTGGTAGGTCCTGATGGTGATATGTATTTTTTTCAAATCTTATTGCCTTGCCTGAAAAACAGCATAGCATTGTATAACAGGTGCGAACAGTGGAATACAAGGCTCTCTATGTCTGGAGAATCATCTTCTGCCCTAAAGTGTCTTCCCACCTCCTCAATTTCCCTGCAGCTTCTTTTCTCCTGCTGGAAGAGTGGGTGGAGTGGGGGGGTTGTGGCAATATTTTATATTCCATTTGCTGCCTTCTGTTCTTGTTGTCTCTGATTTTGCATATGCCTTTATCAAGGACTGGAGATGCACATGGGAGAACTAAATGATGTGATTTTAGGTGTCCTGGGAAGGACAGTCTGCCAAGCACAGATTGCTACCAGGCTGTTTACTGTGGGTGCCCGTATTACACCATTGGTTAGTGTTCCTTTGGGTTTGTGTGTGATTTAACTTATATGATCAACTAAAATCTGTGCATGGAGAAAATGAGAGTGCTGAAGGGGAAAAAAGAGTGAGGAGGGATGGTTGATAAATTAGGGGTTGCCCTTGGAAGGGGGGCATGATAGAACAGCCCAAGAAGACTGAGACTCTAAGATAGGAGATGGATTCAGAAAGGGAAAAGAGGAAGATGCCAAGCATCAGCTCCCAGGGGTATACTAAGTCCTTAGTCACATGTACTGTCCTTTCTCCTTGGGATGCTGGAGAAACTGATGAATCTGGCTTCATTTCTTCCCCCTGCTCCTGTCCGCTACTGCATCCCTCCAATGCAACATATTTTCCTGCCTTAACTTTCCTCCTCTATGAAGAGCACCAACATATGACCAGGAGGCCATACCTAAGCAGATATCACCCTCACCAAGTCCTAGAGACTTTACATTTTCATGTCCTCCCCCATGTTGCCAATCTTTTTGCTACTACCTATGGTGAGTGCTCACCATTTCTTAGCTGGAAGCCTGGTAATCTCACCTCTAGTTCCATCTCTCCAATTATTGCTATGCTTTCTCAGGACCTTTTCAACAGTTTCTCACTAACTGAAGAAAGCATTATTATACTATCATTCACTGAGTTTTTATCATTTTCCATAAATTGTCTGCAATCCTTATAGTAATCCCACAAGGAACATGCCATCATTCAGGAAGTAAACCATATACCTTACATTTGGATGCAGGGCTTATTGATTCCAAAGCCTTGTTCTTTTCACTATTCTTCTCCCAGCCTGTTCTCCACGCTCACATCCATCCATCCATCCATCCATCCATTCTGCTTCCTATTTCTCTGCCTGTGAATCAGTTTCTATACACTTGCAGTATTGAAGCTAGGAGTCAGCTTTTCCAAGACACCCCTTTCAAATATACATTCAGTATGTCACAATTTATTTTGTGAGCCTCTTTTAGACATTCATTACATTCCCTATTACCCTCCAAGTCTGTAAATACCATGAGGCTGGAGACTGTCCACATATGTCATTTCTCTTTCCTCTCTCCATCCATCCCTGCTTTTTTTGAGAGGGATTTAAGGCTATGAGGGTAAATATTGGGTCTTTTATCTTCACATTCCCACTGCTTAGAACAGTTTCTGATACATAAGATGTGATGATTAAAGGTTTTATGAATGTATGAATGATATCAATAAAACTCTGTGAAGTGACAGCTAAGAATTAAAAAAGTCTCCATTTTAGCAAAGATGAAGGTGAAGCTTGGACAGGTGGGATGGGCCTGTTCAAGGATTCTCACAACTTATTAACACAGACAAGACCTTGATATTTATCTCCTAATTCAGTGAGACAAAGCTGCACCACAACTTTTATGATTTTTGTTGCTTTTACTTCATTTCTATTCAGAGATCTTCCTTCTTCTCTCTCTTCCTATTCTACCAACTCCTTCTCTCTGAAAAGAAGCCCAGGGTTTTGCCAACACCTCATTCAGACCTTAATGCACATGAATATCCATACATTTGCTTTTCCCTTTATCCCTGCTCTCATTTGGCAATTTGCCCATCTCTTCACACAGAGGTCCCTTCCAATAAGGCAAGAATGAAAGTTCAACTTTTTCAATTTTTCTGATGAAATATCATCTTTGCCTATTTAAGAGCTTTGCATCTTGACTCTAGATTATAGAGCACATGGATTTCCATTCAATTAATAACAGAGGAGAGCAACTCTTTAAGAACTACCATTCATCTCAATTAGAAATTGATTGACATTCAGCCCCTGTCAAAAGCCCAGTGAGGCAGTCAATATTTGACAGGGCCCAAGAGATTGATTAATTATTAACTCTTCAGTATTTTCCAAAATTCATTTCTTTATCCAATCTGACTATGGGAAATTTACCTAGCCTCCCTACAACTCAATTTCCTCTTCTGTTAGTGAGGATAATTATAATGATACCTACTTCATATTGTTATTGCGAAGGTTAAATGAACTAACTTACATAGAATGTTTGAGTGCCTGGAATAGATTTACATTTATGAGATTGCTGTTTTCCACGCCCTAGGATTTCATAGAGAGTTGAAAGCTGTATTTGAATAACCTGAATTTTTGTGAAACAGAGACTGCCATTGAGGACAACGTTGTTCAAATTTCCCCTTTCTAAAGGATCTTTCAGGAAAAAAAGGAAAAGGAAAAAAGTCCTTCAGATTTCAAGACTAGAAAAGAGTTTGTCTTTTCTGTGAAACTCCATGTTTCTTTTTCTAGCAAGTAAGACATGCATGAGTAAGAGCTCTTGTTATTTCCGTCTCTGTTTTAGAAGTTAAGAAGTATAGAGCTGAGTTTTATGTTCAGAGATAGAAGTTTCCTGATATCAGCATTATCCCTTTTATATTTCCTTTTTCTAATGATACTAACCTAATTATAACCTGTCTCAGATATCTTTTTGAAGTCCTAGAGAATAAGTTCATCAGTAGGCAAATAAGTACATGTATAGGCACAAAAATATTTTCTTGGTCTTTAATGTCATATTAAGATTGACATTAACGATGATGAACCCTGCATTCAGGGCAAAGGGAACTGTAGTAGGCAGAATTCCAACATGGCCCATAAAATGCCCACCCACTGATGCACATGCCTAGTACAAGTTCCTCCCCTTAAGTATAGGTGGAATCTGTGAAAATGATGGGCTTTCACTTCCACAATTAGGTTAATAGTTGGTGTCTTTTAGATAATCAAAAGTGGGGTTATCCTATGAGGGTCTGACCTAATTAGACAAGCCCTTTACAAATGAAGTGAAATATTAGAGTGTCTTGTTAGCCCCAGAGAAGAAAGCAAATATCCATGTTGTGAAATGCGTATCACGGAGACCACATGGCTAGGACCTGAGGGTGGCCTCTAGATGCTGAAAGCAAACTCATGCTAGCAGCCATCAAGGGAATGGGAACTGAATTTTGACAAAAACTGACCACATGGGGAAGAAAGCTTTTAGCTCCAGATGAGAATGCAGCCTATCTCTGCTCATGTAAAACCATGAGCAGAGAACCCAGTTATGCTGTGTCTGGACTTCTGACCCGCAAATATTGTAAGATAATAAATAGGTGGTTTTAAGTCACTAAGTTTGTAATCATTTGTATGCAGCAAAGAAAACTAATTTTTGTTTCTAATAAACTAAACTAAAACTAAAGCTCTAAACAATTCTTAGTACAAACAAATATGGCTTATCACCAACTCATTGTTGAGGTTGTCCCAATTCTCTTTCCCATGGGATACTAATAGGTAAAATGGAGAGAAGGAGAGAGAGAGAGAGAGAATTAATGTCATGCCAAGTGGGAGCTATGTCACATTTCAAACATCACTTCCTCTGTGTTTTGTTTGTATGTTTGTTAGATGTGAATAACTATTTTTACCCATATTCAAAGGGAAAGGAATTAGACTTCATCTTTTGGATGGAAGTGGTGTCAAATAATTTGCAGATGTGTTTTAAAAACACCACATCTCCTGTTGTCCCTTACTTAGCATGGGACCATGTTCTTATGTTCTTTCTGAGGCCAATGGAGCTTCAGAAATAGCCATCTCTGTCTATATATTTTAAAAACTGATGTATAGTTTACAAATAGTAAAGTACAGAAATTGAAAGTGTATAGCTTAATGAGATTTTACATATATGTAAATTTTACACATATGTGCAAATTGTACATGTATATATGCACATCTCTGCCTGCCAGATCAAGCTATAGAACATTTCTAGCATTCTAGATGGTTTTATCATGTCTCATCCCAGTCAGAACTCACCATAATGTTTCATACTACTCCAATCTCCATCATCACAAACCAGTTTTCCATGTTTTTGCCCCTCATATAAGTTGAATTATATTGTATATACTATTTCTTGTTTGGCTACTTTCACTTCGAATGTTTTTCAGATTTTTTCTATTTTGAATTATATATCATTCATGAATTATCTTTCTTATTTCTGTATATGATTGTATATTATTCCATCATGCAACTATACTACAGTTTATTCATTCTAATATTGAGGCCATTTGAGTGGTCTACAGTTTTGGGCATTGATGAAGAATACTGCTATGAATATTTCTGTTCATGTCTTTTTGTGAACATAAATACTCATTTGTCTGGGTATATACTGAGGAGAGGAAGTGCTGAGTCATAGAGTGGGAGTATGCTCAGCTTTAGTAGATATTGGCACACCGTTTTCCAAAGTATTTGTATCACTTTAAAGTTTCACCAGGCAGTAATTTAAGCCCTGCTGATGGGCTATGTAGGGATACCTCATGTGGCTTTAGTTTGCATTCTTCTGATAATGATGTTTAACACCTTCTCATTCATTTATTGATAATTTGGCTATCTTCTTTATGAAGATATCAGATATTTTGTTCATTTTTTAATTGCATAGTGTAATTTCTTCTTACAGACCTGTGGAAATTCATTAGATACTTTGGATACAAGTTCTATTTGGATCTATGTAGCACAAATAGCTTCTCCCTGTCCTTTTCCTTTCTATTCTCATAATAGTGTCTTTTGATAAAGAGAAGTCTGTAATTTTGACTGAGTATCATTTTTAGTCTTTATGATTAGTGCTTTTGGTGTCTGTTTAAGAATTCTTTAATTATCCTCAGTTCTTTAAGATAGTCTCCTAAGTTTTCTTTAAGAAATTTGGTTATTTTATCATTCACTTTTAGATATATGGTTCATCTTGCTTTAATTTTTTATTATGGTGTGATGGATTAAGGCTATCAACATGGATATCCAATTGACAGTACCATTTATCAAAAATAACATTCTTTCCCCCACTGAATTGTAGTGGAGACTTGCCATTAAATCTGGTGTCTGTTATGTTTGGACTTACCTCTGGGATCTTATCCTGTTCCATTAATCAATTTGTCTATCCTTTTGCCAATATCACATTTAATAACTGTAGCTGTATTATTAGCCATAATAAGCCTGAAAGTTAAGATATTTAAGTTCTCCAGCTTTTTTCATCTTTAAGTTTGCGTTGGCTATTCTAGATTTTTTTGTATCTCCATATCATTTTAGAATCAGTTTGGCAATTTAAAAAAATGTGCTGGGGTTCTGATTGGGGTTTTCAATTCGATTATGTGAGAAAGAATTGACATCCCAGCCTAGCATGAATTTTCTAATCCATGAGCATTGTATATCTCTCCATTTGCTTCATTTTTTTTTGTTCTTTCTTGCAGTAATATTTTATTTTTTAGTGCAGGAGTCTTGCTTGTCTTAAAAATATTTACTCTTAGGTATATGATGCTTTTGGTGCTATTCGATATGGTATAACTTTCATTTTTATATTTCAATTATTTGTTTCCAGTATATAGAAATGTAAAGAATTTCTAAATATAAACTTTGTATCCAGCAATTTTTAAAAATTCAGATATTAATCCTTATAATTTGTTTGTTGATTGTTTCAGAATTTTTATATATAATCATGTCATCTGTAATACATTTTTTGCCTTTTATTTTTGAGACAGGGTCTCACTCTGTTGACCAAGTTGGAGTGCAGTGGTGTGATAATGGTTGACTGCAGCCTCAACCTCCTGAGCTCAAGGGATCCTTCCATCTCAGCCTCCTGAGTAGCTGGCACTACAGGCATACACCACAAAGCCCATTTATTTATTTATTTAGTATCGCTATGTTGGCGAAGCTGGTCTTTAACTCCTGGGCTCAAGTGATCCTTCTGCCTTGGCCTCCCAAAGTGCTGGGATTACAGGCTTAAGCCACCATCCTGGCCACCTCTTTCTTTCTAATATTTATGCTTTTGATTTCTATTTCCTGCCATATTGTACCAGCTAGAACTTCCTGTACAATGTTGAATAAAACTGGTGACAAAAGACATTCTTTTCTTGTTTCAAAATTCAGTAGAAAGTGTTCAATAATTCACAATTAAGTATAGTGAATTAATGTGAAGTAAAGTGTAGTGATAAATGTAGGTTTTTTTGTATATTTATTTATTATGTTGAGAGTGTTTGTTTCCCTTACTAGTTAGTTGAAAGTTTTTGTCATGAGCAGGTATTAAATTTTATTACATTTTTTCCTGTATTTGTTGATCCCATGATTTAAAAAAATTTTCAATCAAATGTGATTTGATTGATTTTGGATGTTCAATAAGTCTTGCATTCTTGGAATACCAAGCTAACTTGGTCATGATGTATTTCTTTTTTTATATCATTGATTAATTTTGTTAGTTTTTTTGCATCTAATAATAAGATATATTTGCCTATAATTTTCCATTCCTATAAAGTCATTTTCAGGTTTTGGCTTTAATATTATTCTTAAATCATAAGGCAAGTTTGGAAGATTTTCTCATTTTCTATTCTCTGGAAGAGTTTGTATGAATTTTTTTATTTGTTTCTCAAAAGTTTAGAAGAATTCACCACTAAAACCATCTGGACCTGCGAATCTCTTTTTTACTCACCATAATTTCCTTGAGGTTCATCCAAACTGTTGTATCTATCAATACTTCATTCTTTTTTGTTGCTAAATAATATTCCATGATTTGGATGTACCACAATTAATTTAACCACTCACCCATTGAAGGCCATTTGAGTTGCTTCCAGATTTGGCCATTTAGATTAGATCTGCTATGAACATTTATTTACAGGTTCTTGAATGAACATAAGTTTTTATTTTACTGGGATAAGTGCCTGAGAGTATAATTATTGTCAAATTATTTTCCAGAGTGGCTGAACCATTTTATATTTATACCAGTAATGCATGAGTAATCCAGTTTCTTTGCATGCTTGACAGAATATAACATTATAACTATTTTTTATTTTAGTCATTATGAAAGTTTTGTAGTAATACCTGATATGGTTTGGCTGTGTTCCCACCCAAATCTCAACTTGAATTGTATCTCCTAGAATTCCCATGTGCTGTAGAGACTGAGGGGGAGGTAATTGAATCATGGGGGCTGGTCTTTCTTGTGCTGTTCTCATGGAAGTGACAAAGTCTCATGAGATCCGATGGGTTTATCAGGGGTTTCTGCTTTTGCTTCCTCCTCATTTTCTCTTACTGCCACCTTCTGCCATTCTGAGGCCTCCCCAGCCATGTGGAACTCTAAGTCCAATTAAACCTCTTTTTCTTACCAGTCTTGGGTATGTCTTTATCAGGATCATGAAAACAGACTAATACAGTAAATTAGTACCAGTAGAGTGGGGCATTGCTGAAAAGATACCCAATAATGTGGAAGTGACTCAGAAACTGGGTAACAGGCAGAGGTTGGAACAGTTTGGAGGGCTCAGAAGAAGACAGGGAAATGTGAGAAAGTTTGGAACTTCTTAGAGACTTGTTGGATGGCTTTGCCCAAAATGCTGATAGCACTACGAACAATAAGGTCCAGGCTGAGGTGGTCTCAGATGGAGATGAGGAAGTTGTTGGCAACTGGAGTAAAGGTGACTCTTGTTATGTTTTAGCAAAGAAACTGGTGGCATTTTGCCTCTGCCCTAGAGATTTGTAGAATTTTGAACTTGAGAAAGATGATTTAGGATATCTGGTGGAAGAAATTTCTAAGCAGCAAAGCATTCAAGAGGTGACTTGGATACTGCTAAAGGCATTCAGTTTTATAAGGGAAGCAGAGCATAAAAGTTTCGAAAATTTACAGGCTATGTGATAGAAATGAAAAATCAATTTTCTGGGGAGAAATTCAAGATGGCTGCAGAAATTTGCATAAGTAGCAAGGAACCTAATGTTAGTCCCCAAGACAATGGGGAAAATGTCTCCAGGTCATTTCAGAGACCTTCATGGCAGCCCCTCCCATCACAGGCCTGTAGGCCCAGGAGGTAAAAGTGGTTTCGCAGGTCAGGCTCAAGGTCCTGGTGCTGTGTGCAGCCAAGGGACTTGGTGCCCTCTGTCCTAGCCATTCCAGCCAAGACTGAAAGGGGCCAATATAGAGCTTGGGCTGTGGCTTCAGATGATGCAAACCTCAAGCCTGGGCAGCTTTCACATGGTGTTGAGCCTGTGAGTACACAGAAGTCAAGAAGTGAGGTTTGGGAACTTCTGCCTAGATTTCAGAAGACGTATGGAAATGCCTGGATGTACTGGCAGAGGTGTGCTGTAGGGGTGGGACTCTCATTGAGAACCTCTGCTACGGCAATGTGGAAAGGAAATATGGGATCAGAGCCCCCACATAGAGTCCCTACTGGGGAACTGCCTAGTGGAGCTGTGAGAAGGGGGCCACCATCCTCCAGATCCCAGCATTGTAGATCCAATGACAGCTTGCACTGTGCACCTGGAAAAGCTGCAGACACTCAAAGCCAGACCATGAAAGCAGCTGGGAAGGAGGCTGTATCCTGCAAATCCACAGGGGCAGAGCTGCTCAAGACCATGGGAACCTGCCTCTAGCATCAGTGTGACCTGGATGTGAGACATGGAGTCAAAGGAGATCATTTTGGAGCTTTAACATTTGTCTGCCATGCTGGATTTTGGACTTGCATGGACCTGGCAACCCCTTTGTTTTGGCCATTTTCTCTCACTTGGAATGGCTGCAATTACCCCATTCCTGTGCCCCCATTGTATCTAGGAACTAGCTAGCTTGCTTTTGATTTTACAGGCTCATAGGCAGAAAGGACTTGCCTTGTCTCAGATGAGACTTTGGACTGTGGCCTTTTGGGTTAATGGTGAAATGAGTTAAGACATTTTGGGAAGATATGATTGGTTTTGAAATGTGCTGACATGAGATTTGGAGGGGCCAGGGTCAGAATAATATGGTTTGGCTGTGTCCCCACCCAAATCTCAACTGGAATTGTATCTCCAAGAATTCCTACATGTTGTGAGAGAGACCCAAGTAGGAGGTAATTGAATCATGGGGGCTGGTCTTTCCTGTGCTATTTTCGTGATAGTGAATAAGTCTCATGAAATCTGATGGGTTTATAAGAGGTTTTCACTTTTGCTTTCTCCTCAGTTTCTCTTGCCACCACCATATAAGAAGTGCCTTTCACCTCCTGCCATGATTCTGAGGCTTCCCCAGCCATGTAAAACTGTGAGTCCAATTAAACCTATTTTTCTTCTGAGTCTCGGGTGTGTCTTTATCAGCATCATGAAAACGGACTAATGCAATATCTCATTGTGGTTTTAAGTTTCTGAATTTCAAATTAAGATGTTCAGTCTTTCTTCTAGCCTCCTGAACATACATAGTACCATTTTGAAGTGTTTTATTATTCTTTTATACTAATTCTATCACTGTTGGCATTTCTGGATTGGTATATTTCTTCTCATTGTGATTCTAACTGAGACTAATATTTCTTCTCATTGTGAGTTTTATTTTTCTGCTTTCTTTCATGACTGAGTAATTTTTGATTTGATATTAAGCATTGTGAATTTAACCTGTTAGGTGTGGAACACTTTTTGTTCCTATATATACTCTTGTTGTAGTTCTAGGATGTAGCTAAATTTTATTTGAAACAGTTCAATCATTTCTGGTAATGATTTTTTTTTTCAATCTTTTAAAGGTGGGGCCGAGCATACTTAAGATAGGGTTAATTTTCCTCCACTACTGAAGCAAAATAGCTTTGCTTACTCTATTCAACGTCCTGTTACTTGATAAGATTTTCCACTCTGGCTTGTGACAACAGCAACTATTTCTGGCCCTGTGTGGTCTACAGAGATTGTTCTCTCTAATCATTTTGGGTGTGATTCTCTAGCCTTGGGTAGTCTCTTTTCATACATATTGATTAGTACCCAGCTGAAGATTCAGGAAGATTCGCTGCATATCTCAGGAGCACGCTCTGTCTTTCATTCTCTCTGAAGTTCTCTCTTCCCTAGTACTCTGCACTGTAATGTCTAGTCTTTTTTTTTTTTTTTTTCTGCTTTGTCTTATTAACGCAGAGAACTTTCTGGAATCTTTTTAGTTTCTTCCTCCCTGTGCCACTGCATGGGATATTCTTTCCAGGAAATAAGCTGATGAAATTTTAGGGCTCACTTCCTTGGTTTTCTGAGTCTCACAGATCGCTGTTCTTTGTTTCTTGATGTTCAATATCTTGAAAACTGTATTTTCATATATTTTGTCCAGTTTTTTTTTTAACTATTTTATATGGTAGAGTAAATCTGTTCCCTGGTCCCTGTTTCTCCATTTTGGTTGATGGTGGGAATCTTGTCAAAAAGTTTTACTTTAGAAGATATTTACAAACAATCTGTTTCAAATTCAATTTCATTATAGGTGAGTTATTCCTCCTTTCTACACTCTAGTAATTATGATTAGCATAAAAATGTACTTTACCTTTAAGGTTACAAAAAGTTCCTCCCAAGTCATTTAATATCTATTTTCACATAGTCTAATTGGGTCCCAGCCCAGAGTAAATATTCTTCAATGAGGAGTTATCTCCAGGAAATCTGCTAAGGATTCACAGTATTATAGAATTTTATCATTGGAAGGTTCATTTGAGAGCTTTCAGGTTGCTGAACATGAGGAGGTGCTGGGAAGGTGGCACTGCTAGAGAGAGCATGGAAGCACCATGTCCCTTTCCCCTATACTTTGCCCTATTTATCTCTTCCATCTGGCTTTCCTGATTTGCATCCTTTTACAATAAGTAGATGAACATATGTCAAGTGTTTTCCTGAGTTCTGGGAGCCCTTCTAGCAAATGACCAAACCAGAGGAGGGGATTGTGAGAATCCCCAATTTATAGCTGGTCAGTCAGAAGTACCGGTACCAGAGGCCTGGATTTGCAATTGGCAAGTGGGAGGCAGGAAGGAACAGGTTTGTGGGACTGAGACCTTGACTTGTGGGATCAGAAGACAACTCCAGGTGGCTAATGTCAGAATTGAATTGAACTGTAGGGCACCCAGTTGGTGTCAGAGAATTGATTATTAGAGAAATCGCCCCCCCAACATTTGGTCACAGAAGTGTTCTGTGGTGAGTGTTGAGAGTAGAGAAAGAAAAAACAAAGTTTTTCCTTTAATGTAGGTGGTTGTGATGCAGGGTATATTTCGATAGAAACAATGCAATGAATTTGAATCTACATCATTGACATTGTATTATAAACACAGTCACGTACATTTTAGGTTAAATAGATTTTTGTACACTGACATTTGATTCGATCCCTGGGACTTTAGAGGAAAATGCATTTGGGCTCTAAATCAGAATGCAAAGAAATCATCTTCCCTTACTGGTTTCTGTGACTTCTGTCAGCAGTTTTAGTTGACAGGAGCCCCATTCCAAGCACTTTTTCCTTACCAGCAAATTGTTAACTAGTTCCATTTTTTCATTAACATTGAAAACTCTCCCTTGAATGAAAAAGAAAGAAATTTTTGGGGGGAAGACACAGGGTGTTGGGACTTACACTCAATAGATTTTTTTCAGAGAAATTTATCTACATTTGTGTTTGGTATCCCATGTTTGTCTGTTAGAGACTTTATCTGTCAGGCTGAATTTACCCCCAGGCTTTCTAGGTTGTATTTTGTTGTGCTTAGGTCTGTATACAGTATTATATGGGAATAGAAATAAAATGAAACGATCTCATCAAATAATTATACTTCTAGGAATTTATTCTAAGGAGATTATGAGAAAACTATGAAGAGGCACGTGTATCAAGTTGTTTGTCTTAGGCTTGTTTATAATAACAAAATTTAGACACGAGTTAAATGCCCCTCAATGGGAGATTGACTAAATCAATATGTGCATATCCATACAACTGCAAACTTCATAGGCATTATAAATAATGATATAATTCTAGATTTATCCATATGAAAAGATAGACATAAAGAATTATTAAATAAAAAAAGGTTTAAAAAGCTGTTAATAGGTGAACAAATTTATTTAATATTTTATGTAGGGATGTGTGTGTTAAGAATGGATTGTCTTCAAGCTTATTGATCAAACATTCGTATAGTTACGTGTCTAGTTGATGGGACTTCGTATGAATATATTTCTTTCTACTTCATGTATAAATTTTACTACAAACTGCACAATAAGGCTGTTTGCATTTTGAAAACTAGTCAAGAGAGTCTGTGCCCTGTAGATTTTCAGTTTAGAGAGTCAAAAACAATCAATGAAAAATATGAGACAATTTAGTATATAAATAAACACCAAAATATATCTTACCTGACTTAGAACCAACATGAGTTGAAAAAAGAGGAAAATATATGTAAATTTAACAAAGGAGAGAGGACGTGACCTGGACTTTGAGAGAAATTGTAGACAATGGATAGAACTAGGGACCCAAATGCCCATCAATCAAAGAGTAGATAAAGAAACTGTGGTATATATATGTGATGGAATACTACTCAGCCGTAAAAAGGAATGAGTTAATGGAATTTGCGGTAGCCTGGATGGGACTGGAGACTATTATTCCAAGTGAAGGAACTCAGAAATGGAAAACCAAACATTCTACATTCTCATTCATAAGTGGAGCTAAGCTATGGGGATGCAAAGGCATAAATGATACAATGGACTTTGGGGACTCTGTGGGGGAAAGTGTGGGAAGGGGGTGAGGGATAAAAAACTACAAATTGGGTGTAGTGTATACTGCTCTGGTGATGGGTGTACCAAAATCTCACAAATCATCACCAAAGAACTTACTCAGGTAACCAGATCCCACCTGTTCTTCCAAAACCTATGGAAATAAAAAAATTTAATAAAAAAAATAGAGAAAGGAGAGCATTCAGACAGAGGGCAATATGAGTAGTAAAGGAAGGTCTGATTTGGTGGGCTGGCAGCATGCAGGAGTGGAAGATGAAATTGTATAGACAATTCGGAGCCAAATTATCTTCTAAAATCTGCAACAACCATAGCAAGTGTACTTGATTGTTTCATCCTTTTTTGGGTTATTTTAAAGCAGATCTTCAATGCTATTGTTAGATCTTTCTTGTCAAAGCACTTTGCAAGTCCCACATCATTCTGTTCTTATCTTCCTCAATCTCTTCAGTTCTGTGGTTAGGGGATCCTGTGCCTTCCCTGACCTCACTTTGCCTCCTGTTCCCTTCCAAGTTTACTTTATCATAGACTGTATGTGGCCTGTAATACCGTGTCTTTGGAATCAGATCTGATTTGAATCCCAGTCTTGTCACTTATTATCTGCATATGTTGGACGAATCACATTAATGCCTCAAAACTTTCATTTCCTTATTATTAAAATGGTAGCAATAATAGTGTAAAATAATAGTAATAATATAGCATGATAATAATAATTAATAATAATAATTGTTCCAAATAAAATGGAACAATTATACTTGCTGCATTTTACTTGGAGCAATTATTAATTGTCTTGGAGACAAGAGGGAAATAGAATGTTAGCATGTTTCTTCCTCTTCTTCTCCACTTCTCCTCTTTCTCCTCCCCTTTTAAACTATAATTTGTCATTTCTAGTCATTCAACTAGGAAATACTACAGAATTTCTAAAATCTAAATGTATTAGATCATCATTAATTAGCTTGAGCATTGTGGTAATTAAAAGCTAAGATTTATACATTATCCTTTCCATGTACATTTTAACGAGGACCTTCTGGAGACAAATTGCTTTAGGATAGAACAGTGTTTTAAATGGTGAGAATGTTAGGCCTTGTGGTGGACCAGTGGGAGAGAAAGTTCTACAAGAACACTCAACACATATAGCACATATTTCCTCCTGTTTCTGTAGCACATATATTACACACTTGGCTTGATTTACATATTCATCATTTGAAATTTGAAATAAGTTTAATGGAAACTATCATTCCCACTTTAGAGTTTTGAATTCAAGACTCGAAGAGAATCGTGATTTACATTAGATGATTAAAAAATGTTAAAAGTTATAATTGATTGATCACCTACTATGTAGCAATTTATATCCATATACCATTGAATCCACAATCTACATTTTATGGATAAGGCTGAAACTCAGAAAGTTTACATAACTTACCAAGCTAATACAGTAAGTGATAAAGCCAGACTTCATGACATAACTCCTTTGCTCTAATTGTGGTATTTTTTACATTCATTTATTCAAGAAATGTTTATTGTCTGATAGCTACTTTTGATATATCATTGAAAGTTGCATTTCAGTGGATAGTATTAATGGCTAACATTTAGTGCTTCCAATGTGCCAAGAACTGTTCTAAGAGTTTCCATATATTTGCTCATTTAATCCTCCTAACCACCCACTGAGAATAGATGTTGTTATTATCATCACCATTTTTAGGATAAGGAAGCAAAGAAGCTAAGTATTTTGGCCAAACCACAAAGCTAATAAATATTAGAGTTAGCTTTAGAGTACTTGGCTTGAATCCTTGACCAGTGCTTTATGCATTCTTCCATAACACATGCTACTGTATATTTAGCAACATTGGTGATAAATGGGCCAACGACTGGGAATCCAGGCATGACAAAAATTATCCTCCAGGATTCTGCATAGATGCCACCCTATGGTGGTGAACTGAACTGAACTGAAAGTGCTGGTGCTTCCTGGGGTCTCAGAGCTGTCATACCTCTATCATTTAGTATACCATAGGAATGTGAATGACAGCGGACTTACATCACTGGTTTTTAAACTTGGATGTATGCTGATATCACCAAAACAGCTTAAAACATACTGATGCCAGGACCCTATACCCAGAGATTTTGATTTCATTGGTCAAAGATGTGGCCTGAGCATCAATATTTAAAACATCTCAGGTGACTCTAATAGGCAGCCAAGTTTGAGAACCAATGACTTAGATCAGTAGTTCTCAAAGTGTGTTCTACAGACTTCAACAAAGTCCTTTCAGGGAGTCCGTAATTTATTTTCATAATAATATGAAAACAAAAAATTTTCATAATAACATGGAAGCACTAGATTTCATTTTCACTATGTTGACATTTGTACTGATGGCACAAAATCAATGGTGGATAAAAGCGCTGGCGCCTTAGCATGAATCAAGCCTGAAACACCAATTTTTACAGGAACATTGTATTTTTCACTGCCGCACACAGTAAAAAAAATCAGTTTTATTGAAAAATTCCCTCAATGAAGCAGTAAGAGATATTAATTTTATTAAACCTTGAACCTTGAGTATGTATCATTTACATCTTCTGGGTGATGACATAAGAAATGTGTGTAAAGTACTCTGCTGCACATTGAAGTACAATTCTTGTCTTAGGGAAAAGCACTTATGCAGTTGTTTGCGTTGTGAGCTAAACCAGGATAGACGTTTTTTTCTCTCTCTCTCTCTGTCTTTTTTTTTTTTGTGGAACAGCATTTTTTTCTTGGAAGTATGACTGCCAGAAAAATTATCGTTGTTTAAACTTGGGTATTTGGCAGATATTTCCTCAAAAATGAACAAAGTAAGACTTTCCCTTTAGGGAAAACAACTGACAATTTTCCTTTGTTTGTTGCCAATAAGAAAATTTTGTCTTATAAGTGAAAATTAAAACTTGCATCTGCCACTGTGAGCTTGGCTGCTTCCTCATACTTAAAGACATTTCTGAAAAGATCAATGGAAATATTTAAAAAGTGTTTTTTTGATAGCAGATAATGATATGTTAATATTCATAACAATGAATCAACAATTTCTAAATGATTGATACATGATAGAAGATCATGCATGGGTAAAAGTTTCATTAAATGTGCGAGATAAACCGATAGATTTTAATGTAACAGAGTATGATAAGCACAATGATATGTTTCTAGATTCCACAGCAATTAATCTGTAAGGAACCAACACTTGTTGAAATTTGGTGTAGTATCAAAGAAGACTATTCATAGTTCCCTGAAAAGACTATTAAAATACTTCTCCATTTTCCAGTTACATGTCTGTAAAAGTTTTTCCTCATGTCCTTCAAATAAAGCAAAATATCCGAAGAAATTGAATGTTGAAATCAATGTAACAATCCAAATATCTTCTTTTAAGTCAGATATTAGAGAGATTTGCAAAAATGTGAAACACATTACTTTTTTCAATTTTTATTTTTTGGGTTGGATAATGTAGCTATTTTTCATAAGGATAATATGGAATGGATTTTATTATTAAGTGAATAAATAATCTGTTTATCAATTTTGTTTTTATTTATAACTTAGTAAATATCAATAGATGTAACCCACATAAATTTTCTTTGGGGTACTCAATAATTTTTAAAATTGTAAAGGAATCCTGAGTCCTCAAAGGTTGAGAACCACTGACCTAGATCATTCTTGAACTTCTTTACTCTTACTTTCCTCTATGACCTGTGAGTCTCCTCCAGGGTTGATTCTGTGTTGGTACAGCTTGGCCAGGATCTGTCTCTGGATTCCTTATGTATTACCACCCTCATGAGCCTGCTGCCTTGGATCCAGGCATTCATATGGTGGCCTTGGTCTAGTGGCAACCTCTCGCATTCCTTGAGGTAGCATCTTTTGTGCCCTTACCTTCTCACCTGCTGCTTGGTGTCAGGTGTTTGCCATTCTTTCTGATAGGTGAGGAACTACGTCTTCTTTTCATGTCCTGTGAGAATTGTATATGGGTGGGGTCTCCTAATGTAATCACTTGGTGACTCAGTGACAGGGTTCTTTCATCTTTCTGTATCCCAGGGTCCATGAGTACTCCCTAGAAGTGAAGATCAAAGCAGGTTCAAGAACAGCTTCATGCTGTGTTTAGAAACATTGTTTCCTGTCAGATGTGATTGTTAAGAAGGGTGCTCCTGCCTGACTCCCTCACTTATGGGGATTCCCCATTCTGAAGTGCAGGTCCTCTCTGAAAGCTGGATTCTTTTAGTACATTCTCTCCGTCCTTCAAATATGTCTTTATATGCCCAAGACTTTCTTATGAGCAGGGTGCGAGCTGTTTTTAACAGTGGGGTTCCTGTGTCCCAGATGGATGAGAGGATGAGGATACATATCAATGGCATGAGAGTCTACAACAGCACATATCTCAGTGTGACCTATCTGGACACCTATGTAAACACCTGCCACTTTACTGGGTACCTTCACATCTAGAGTATTACTAAACAGAGGTGTCGATTAAAACTTGCTTCAGGTTCAACTTTTTGTCTGACCTGGTATCCAAACCTAGTTTTACATGGGATCTTTACTTATTCCACTATATCCCTGAAATGAGAAAACTTACTCTCATCCTGTGGGCTCCTTTATCTCTGACGTACTGCTTTGTGCATTGTGTTCTGGGGTGGTGAATCCTTGAAGAATCATCTATTTCATAGCATCCACATTTGGAAACTTCTGCTGGCTTACATCCTTGACTGGGACTGCATACTGTTTTTTGTTTGTTTGTTTTATTTTATTTATTTATTTTTTAAAATTTGTCTGCTTTCTGCCTAAGCACCACTGAAAACAGGCAATAGGAAAGACAGCCCTGGAACCTTTTTGGGGACACCATAGCACTCAGCCATGTTTTATTTTTCACTTTTAATACAAGCACTCCCGTCTCTGATTCTGCTTTATCTAAATGCTCTATTTGTTATTTTAAGCTAAAAACACAAGCACTTTCAGAAGAAAGATACCTACTAAATGTGACTCACAAATAAATGAATAATGATGTCATCCATTGGCAGAAGGTTTGAGGTCAATAAAGCGCCCTTGGTCCCTCGCTTCTGGGTCATCATTCATAATGTTCTGTAAGAGTTGCACCACATACTCCAACTTATAATCATGTGAAAGTTAATATTAACCAACGCTTTTGTGTTCCCAAACTCCCTGTGGCCTAACTCAAGGCACTTTGAGACAGCAGGCCTCTTATAAAGCTAAATATATAACCAAGTAAGAGACAGTCATAAAAGTATAGTTGAAAGAGACTCAGAGGCTGTTTTTATGGCAGCACTAATGGTTGATTATACGATGCAATTTTAGAGACTGACCTTCTTGGTGTGATCCTCCCATCATCTTCTTGCTGCAATTTGGAAGCTGATTCTTAGCTTTTTCCCCAGATCACAAGTTCTGCGTGTTAATTTTATTTTGGTCTCATTTTCACTGCTCAAGGTTGGTCACACCACAAATGGATTAGACTGCCTTTTACTGGAGTAAAAGCATTCAACCTCCATGTCTGTCACGGTATTTATTGCTTTCTAGCACTCTCACACTCATTCTGGGTCTCTCATGGCAGTGTTTCTTGGCCTTGTCTTCACTAGTAGTGCTCAACCTTTGGGTCTGCCCTTTCATTTCCCCAGGTTACATGGGACAGAGTACAAATCCCTACTGGTATATTTAGGGAAAGGATTACTATAACAATAAACTCCTAAACAATAGTGCATTTCAATAAAATTCTATTTCTCACCCTCTTAAGTCCTGTGAAATTTTCTAAGACATGGTGACTCAGAGGCCCAGACTTCTTCCGTCTCATGATTTCTCCCTGATCTACAGTCTCACCATTCTCTGACAATAGCCAGCAAATGGTGAAAAAGAGGTTGGAGAAGGCACATCCGCTTCTTAACTGCCTTTTTGCAGAAGATACATAATATTACTTCCGCACAGTTTCCCTTGGGGAGAATTATTCACATGGCCCACCAGCATGCAAGGACATCTGGGAAATGTAGTTGCTGGCTGGGCAGCCATTCCCCAGTGCTATGGTCTGAATGCTGATGTCCCTATAGAACTCATATTATGGAAAATAATAACCAATATGATAGTATTAAGAGATGGTGCCTTTGGGGGAAGTGATTAAGTAATGAGCATTGTGCCCTCATGAATGGAATTGGTGCCTTTATAAAAGAGGTTGAAGGAAGCTGCCTCGCCTCCTTTCCACCATGTAAAGACACAGTGTTCAGCCGTGTGAGGAAGCCGATAAAAGGTGCAATTTTTGGAGAGCGAGCCCTTACCAGACACTGAATCTGCCAGAGCTTTGATCTTGGACTTCCCAGCCTCCAGGAATGTGAACAATACATTTCTGTTATTCATAAATTACCCAGTCTAAGGTATTTTGTTATAGCATCCAGAACTGACTAAAACACTGTAATAACTCTATAGTATGGAAGGAGTAGCACAATAATTTTTATGTAGTAAAATATATACAACATAAAATATATCATTTTATCTATTTGTAAGTGTTTAGTTCAGTGACCTTAAATATGTTTACATTGTTATACAACCATCACCACCATCCATCTTCAGAACATTTTTTATTTTCCCAAACCGAAACTCTGTACCCATTAAACAACAACTTTATATTCCTCTCTCCTCCTGTGACCCTGGGAATCACCCTTCTACTTTCTGTGTCTAGGAATTTAACTAGTCTAGGTACTACCTATAAATAAAATAATACATTTTCCTCCATTAAAGCACAGAAATTTTTTTTTGTAAAAAGAAAGAAAAAAACAAGTAAAACCATACAGTATCTGTCCTTTAGTGACTGGCTTATTTCACTTAGCATAATGTCTTCAAGGTTCATTCATGTCAGAACTTCCTTCCTTTTCAAGGAGGAATATTATTTCCTCACATACAAATACAGACTGAGTATCCCTTATCTGAAATACTTGAGACAAAAGTGTTTCAGATTAGGGATTTTTTTTATTTGGAATATTTCATATACATAATGATATATCTTGGGGATTGGACCCAAGTCAAACCATGGAATTAATTTATGTTTCATATATACCTTATGCCCATAGCCCAAAGGTAATTTTATAAAATATTCTAAGTAATTTTGTGCACAAAACAAAGTTTGTATATATTGAACCATCAGAAGGCAAAGCTGTCAGTTTACTAAATATGTTCTCATTATTCAGTTACTTTGATCTACAGACAAAAGTGAGAAATGGGGGTTTCCACCACAAATTCATGGAAAACAAAACCTTACAGTACAATATTTCTTAGAGAGTGAAATAATAGACATTGGAGACTCACACGGGAAAGGGGTGAGGGATAAGAAATTACCTAATGGTTACAATGCACACTATTTGGCTGATCGTCATACTAAAAGCCCAGACTCCACCACTACTCAAAATATACATGTAAGAAAACAGCACTTGTAACCCCTAAATCTATAAAAATAAAAAATTTTAAAACTTAAAAAAAATGAAAGCAAAGGTGTCGCTATCTCAGCCACCCATGTGGATGATCTGTGGTTGCTTAGCATCACCATCATTCCTAACTCTGAATTTATATTCTATCAAAAGGAGTCATTTTCTTACACGTGTTCACACATAAGTACTTAACAGTAAGAAATATGACATAATATAGTGAAAGTTCAGTGTAAGGAAGCAGCACAGTAGCATCACCAGAATACCTGTATCAGCTGTTAAATAACAGCAACAATAAGCAGCAGCAGGCTTCCAGTCTCCACCTGCAATGCTGAGTTTTGATTAAAATGATACTATATGCTGTATTTTATTTTATTTTATATTAGGTGAGAAGAAACATTAGAAGCAATTGAGAGACCAGGAAATAAGTCTTCTGGGGATGAGGAGGCATTCTTCTGGGATGCAGTTACATCTTTGATGCTAAACTCCTTTTTGCAATCTGCACCCACCCCTCCTCATACTGCTACTAGTATGCTCCTTGAGAAAGTGTTTTGTATTTACTCCTTATTGATCTGGACCCTGGTCACAGAGTTGAATTAATGAAGTCACACTTGGGGGAAAGTACATGACATAGACTTTACTTCTGATGAGAATTTCAGCTGGAGGATGAGCAGAACAGTTGGCAGGAAATAACAAAATCTTGCAATCATCATCCAGTCCAGCTTCCTTGCAGTGAGCACAAGGCACTGGTACAAAATGTTTTTGAAACCAATTAGAAAAAATGTCCCTGGGTGGCTTGTGCCTTTTTGTTAGGGTAATAACGGACTGGTAAGAAATTCACTTACCAGATTGGAAGGACACAAGCTTTTACCTATCAGCAAGTTTACACTTAGGCATGCCTACTGCATTAGCACATCCCAGAACAGTTATTCTGTCCTTGGCATCCTTAATTCAGTAGGAGTTCTTCAGCTGCCGTCAAGTCTTCCTTCTATGACAAAATAGCGATGTTTCCTCAGCATTATAGATTTGTTCTGGTGGCATATTTTCATCAGCATGACCTTGGCAAACTCATCAATAAATTTATCTGCTGCTTCATGATCAGCAGATGCTTTATCACCACAAATCTTTAAATACTGAATGCTGTGTTTTTCTTAAATTCAAGCAGCCTATTGAATATTCATAGTTCTTTCATTTTTCAGTTCATTGTGATAGATCTTTGCTTGCTTCATGATCAATATGTCCTTAAGTGGCATGTGTTTACTGCAACACTGATGGATTTACCCTTGTAATACACAATCAAGATCTTCGTTTTTAGCTTTAGGCAGTGTTTCTCCACTTTTCATTAACTTCTGTTCATCCCTTCAGCATGGAACTTCAACAGTTTATCCTTCTGTTTCTTCAGGTCATATACGGTGGTCATTCTAGTACCATACTCTTATTTAAGATGTTTCACACTTAACACTTATGTCACTGTCCAGTTTTACCAACAGCTTAACTTTCTGTGCTGTAGATAAACATAAATGCTTCCTCTTTTTAAAAAAGTACTCTTGCCCATAGGGGTAGCTGCAGGCCTTTTTGGCATTCTCAACAATATATTTTTGCCACAGAGCACAGAATAAGTAAGCAATCAAAACAAAACAAAAACAGTGAATTTTGCATATAGGTCTTGGCCCCATGTGGGACATTGTGGGGAACTTGCTATTGTTGCGTTCTGCCTGCATACATGCCATTTTATTACTCTTTGTGGGAGTGCTTGTGTGGGGGAATGTGGGCACGTATGGAAAAGATATCTCACAGCTAAAGGGGGCTGGGTGGGTCTTTTTCCCTTGCAGATGCTGAATAAACTGTGTTGTGTGCCCATGTTTTGATTACAACCCATTACATGAAGTCAGGTGTGGAATTTTCCCCTTGTGGCATCACGTTGGCACTCAAAATCTTTTGGATTTTGGAGCATTTCAGATTTCAGATTTTCAGAACTGGGAAATCAACTTTTTTATCATTTTGTTTTGTTTATCCATTCATCTGTTGATGGACATTTGGGTTGCTTCCACCTTTTGGCTATTGTGAGTAATGCTACTATAAACGTGGGTGTACAAATAACTTTTTGAGTCCATGCTTCCAATTCTTTTGGGTATGTGCCAAGAGTGGGAATTCCTAGGCTATATGGTAAATATATTTTTATTTTTTGAAGAACCACCATATTGTTTTCCATGGTGGCTATAATTTTTTACATTGGAGGAGCATGATTTTTAATAAGTATTTCTGCAACACCAGTCTTTGGTTTATCAGCTCTGTGACCTTAAACAACTTAACTTCATGAATCTTTTTCCTCAGTTAGAAAACAGAGCTAATATCGGCCGGGCGTGGTGGCTCACGCCTGTAATCCCAGCACTTTGGGAGGCCGAGGTGGGTGGATCACGAGGTGAGGAGATTGAGACCATCCTGGCTGACACGGTGAAACCCCGTCTCTACTAAAAAATACAAAAGATTAGCCGGGCGTGGTGGCGGGCGCTTGTAGTCCCAGCTACTTGGGAGGCTGAGGCAGGAGAATGGTGTCAACCCGGGAGGTGGAGCTTGCAGTGAGCTGAGATTGCGCCATTGCACTCCAGTCTGGGAGACAGAGCGAAAAAAAGAAAAACGAAAAAGGAAAATAGAGCTAATATCTACTTCACAGTGATGTTGTGGGGATCTAACAAGGTGATGTATGTGAAGCTGTTTGCATGGTTACTGACACATGATGTGTAATTAATGTGTTAGTAATGTGTTAGTTTTTTTTCTTTTCCCCCATCTCCTCACATACAAGATTATCATATCTTTCTTTTCCTGTATTCAGTGACCTTAGAGATTTAGTTGGTAGAAGTTAGGTTTGTAAGAATTAATGGGTTATTCATTCCAAGCATACCATCTGGGACACAGTTTTTTCAAAAGGAGGAATGTGAATGCTAAGATGGTGAGAAGTTCCATGCTGGCATGTGAAGAAGAGATTCTTAAACAGGAAAGCCTACAACTCAACCCCTTAGGTTGTACTTTGAGATAACTTCTCTACTTAATTAGGTGCTGAGTCTCTAGGGAAAAACTACTCAGCAACTCGGTGACTAAATCATTCTTGACAAGCTTTTTCACTTTCAAGTTTTAATTAGTATTGCTTATCCTAGTTGAATAGTTTTCAGCTATATATCTCATTTTTTTTTCTTCTTATTTCAGACTGGCTATGCAGATTAAAAAAATAAAGAGTAACACTTGATACCCATCTAAAAAGCCCGCTGACTAGTCCACCAGAATATTGGTGTCAGGTCCAATGATAATGCCTTCAGAGAAAGTCAATCCTCATCTCCCTTTCATCTTCCCTATCCCTCACCTTCATACTGGCATGTGGGGGGCATTCAAAGCTCTTTTGTCCACTTGAGCAGCCCGAGGCAAGTCTTTTCTGGTTTTCCAGTCATTAACTAGAGTAAAAATTCTGATTCTGGGCCTCATGCACAGAATGGGTGCATCACTAACTAAGGTGGTGACCAGGGACACTCACTTCCCCTTTGCCTATCAGCTTTTTTCGCTTATAATTTGAAATAAGTAAATTAGACCGAAAATTGAATTAGATTATCTGACAGAATTTTCAAAACTCCAAATGATCTACGAGGCTCTGTTTTCCTTGGCAATTTGAGGTGCTGTGTGATGTCTTCCACACCTTTTATCAAAGCTAAGGAGACGTTTACCAGCAGGAAGTCGTTTTTCCTCACAGACAGATCTACTTGTGATCAAAATGTTTGAGGATTATTGTGTTCTTACATGGCAATACACAATCAAACACCAGATGCTCAGCATTCAAAACTAAAAAAAGCAGATGAGCGATTTGATCTCTTCCATCTGATAAAGTCTGATAACTAAGAGGCTGACACAGATACCTTGACAATGGCACAGCCTGGGCTCCCCTCAGACAGGCTGCCTTGGAACCATTCACAGAGCCATCTCTGAAGTTGGCATGAACAGCAGCAGCATTTGAGGCAGGGAAGTCTGAGTGATGGGGATGGCAGCGACAAGAGCTTTACTTAGCTACGAGACTGCAGGCTTTGAGGTACTAACAACAAAAGCCCAGAGAACAAGAAAAATGAAAATGGATGATTCCAGAGAGGACAATGAGGCTCTGTCAGGTATTTTCTCCAATGATTTTAAGTGGAATTATGCAAGTGAGATTGGAACTGTTTTACAGAAGGCAAAAAATAAGAATTTTGCAGCCATTCCACTATATGCTTAGAAAGAAAAGGAATGTCATACAATCACCTCCATCTATATAAAAAAAGTTAATATTTCTTCTGTCACAAAATGCCATGGGAAACAAATTTTTTAAACCTCATGTAACAAATTGTAAACACAACCATAATTCTTGACATTTTGGGCAGTTAATATCTTGTTATTTGTATATGAGCATTAACATTATTTATTGCTAAACTCATCTTGTGAACTCTGTCAAGGAGTTAGTGAAAGTAGTATTCTCTGATGAGGTCTACACTGCACATGTGAAATATTACTCCAGTTCTTTTCTTTCCTTCTCCCTCACTTTTGTCAGGTGCTCTCATTTCTATAGTGCCCAGTGCTCCATAGGGGTGTTGAAGTTCCTCTATCAACAAAGAAAACAATGTTCTTTGTTGTCCTATATTGATTCACGCTACTGTTTCACTGACTTCATGCTTCCCATCTCCAGGAGCTTTTGCATTTGAAAATAGAATGCTATTTGTAGGAACAATGCCTAGACTATAGGAATGGGCCTTGAATCATGAAATTTAAGGCATAACGGCACGTTTCTAGAGAGATATTTAAAGGCAGAAGTCTCTAGTTACATCGCTTGGGTGATTACTTACTCTGTTACAATTCAGGCATCTTGGACTATATACATAACATCTTTTTTTCCATTAACTTTATTGTTCTTATGAGATGGGTTTGAGGCTAACTTAGGCCGATTTCATAAATCTCAGCTGGTGGCTGACCAAGAAGTGCACCTTATAGATGTATCCCCTAATGAAAGAGATCTGGTATGATTTGTCTGCAAATATGACTTTATGACCTTCCTTTATTGGCTTCCATTTTCCTGACCATCAGCTTTTGCAGATGATTTTGCAGGCTGTTTTAATCACTTCAGGTAAGCTGTGAGCACTGAGCAACACGTTGCCATCAAAGCCTCCGCAAAAATAGCTACAGGATTCTGTGGCCCACAGAGAGAAGAGTGAGGGAAGTCTGACTCAATTTATCTGAAAAATAACTTTTCTAATACACAAAATTGCTATAATTCTACTCACACTAGGAACCAGAGGCAAAAATTAATGACAAGTCACCTTTCAGCTTTTATTTCTATTTGCATGTGCCTGAACATTCAGAATCACATAACAATTGTTTTGAGCTGAAGACAGCAGAAGAACATAAGGATACCCTGTACTTCTCAGGAGGATAGGAACATCAGATTTGGAATGGGTAGGTCACAGGAATTTCTCCAGATGAATTAGTCCTGGGGGTGGGTGGGCAAGATGGATGTAGGAGAGTTGAAATTGCCTTGGGGGAATAAGCTTTCCCTCTGAGCTGGTCCCCGACAGCCATGTAAAGCAAAACTAGATTCTTAGTCACTCTGTGCCTTAGTTATTTCATCTTAAAAGAGGACTTTCTGTTAAGATTAATAAAGTTGAAAGAGATGCACTGTGTGGGTGTGAAGGGTCAGCATGCTGGGACAGCAGACTCAAGATGACATCTGCCATCTTTGCTATCTTTGCCTACAAGTCCTCTTCATTATTTTCCAGTTTCTGTCCTTTTCAGTCAAATTTAGATCCAGAGTGGTCTTTAAAATAGAATGGGCATAACTCCGTGTTCTTTGAAAACAGACATTCTCAAATATCTTTTGATGTTTAATAAATGTCAAATATTTGTAATGTACTGTTATTTAAAAAGTTAGTTTTCTGAGGTGACTCAGAGTTGATATGTTTTTCTTTCTGTACAGAGACATCTACTCGGCTATATAATGGCACCCTAGAAAGATGCTGAATGGTGAATAATTTAATAATTGTACAAAAAGAATTTTGCTTTTCAACATAGCACATAAAAATGGAATAACTTTTTGGTTAGAATAAACCTTATAGTCAATTTTTTCCCATTTTTTTCTTACACTTTCAAAGGTCAGAAAGAGAAGAGAAAATCTTTTGATACATGTGTGAAAACTAGAATTATATTAAGAAGAGTCCTAATTAATTACATATATCTGACCCCAGTGTACTCCACAGAAGAAAGGTGGTGGCTGTGCCTAGAGTTGATGAGCTCTAAATTTTATTCACAGCTATTATTGTAATTGGTGGCTCTGCCATTATCAGGTGTTAACATTAGAGTGATACCTGGTAAAAATTGCTGTAATTGCTGGTAAGAACCAATTGAAGGTGTTTTACAAAGAGAAGTAGTATGAGTTAAACCTGAAGAATACAGTATAGCCTTATGAGTATTATATAATTCTGTATTTAGAATATATATGTCAATGAATCTGAAAGATTGTAAGATTTGGTTTTCTCACCCTCTCCAAAAGCAACTTGGAGTATGAGAAAAGCTTAGAATTTATTCTAGTGGATCTAGTCTTAAATCGTAGCACTGTGATTTACTCACTGCACAAACTAGAACAGAATAGGTTTGTCATTTATAACTTTTGGGAGAACCTGAGCTTATTCTATTCTCCTTATCTTTCAGAGTTATCATAATGTTCAAAAAAGATAACGTGATATCCATTGTAAATTGCAAAGGACTTTGAGAATAATAGATTCTATACGCCAATGGTACAAGCATAAGGAAATAGGTTTTTGGTGAAAATGGGAAAAATAAGAAAGTAGGAACAATGAAATGGAGTTTCAAGTGACCACTATGTAACAGCTGTTTAAGAATTTTTTGGTACATTTAATTCTCCCGACAATATGAATAGTGATATACAATCTCTCAATTTCCAAATGAGAAATCCAAAAGTCAGGGAGTTTAAGTAACTTACTTAGGTCACACAGCTAGGAAGCACTAGAGCCAGTGTTTCTTTTAAATGATCTCATCTGTCTTTCCAGTTCTGTTTTTCCCCTTTCGATTACAGCTTCATGATTGAGAGGCTGATATGCACGTTTATTTACACACTTTTTAATTCAATAAACATTCCATCAACATGAATAAGTCATTGTTTTTGGCTCTGTTGAGGAGACAGAAATGAATAAAACACAATCATCTTGCTTACGGAGTTACAATCCAATGTGCACAGTTAATTTTTGGCTGTCCTTGCTGATAGCCATTTGTAAGTGTATTCTCAGACGTAAGATGAAGTTCTTTCATTTGCTGCAGTTTCTAGTGAGGAACCAGGGTTTTTTCTAGTTATGAGCCAAGGAGAAATTTCGTTGTCTGTGGTTAAAAACAAAAAATGAATCACTATACTCTCCTTGTTTGGTAACGAATATTAAGAATATAAACAGAGTTAAGAGTGCTAGATTTGGGGTCAGAAAGATCTGTGTTCAAGTCCTAGCCATATGTAACAATTGTATAAGCTTGGAAAGTTATGTCTTTTCTCCAGACTTCAACTTCCTCATCTGTAAAATGTACTTCTAACTGTAAAATAGGAATAAAAATATACTCCCTCCCCCAGCAGTTGTTAAGATGTTTAAATGAATGAGTGTGTGCGTGTGTATGTGCACATGGTGCATAATGTATGTTAAGCACTTAGCACAATGCCTGTTTGGCAAGCAGTCCTCAAATGATAGCAATTATTATAATTATTTTGTCTTTGAGGACCTGGGATTTCAGGAGACACAAATCATTATTCTGAATGTCAGTTTTGATTACAAAGGACAGCAGATGCAGATAGCCTGTTTAGTACATTGGGCTGAATCTAGGAATATTTTAGGTACCTATATTGGATTTTTTGTTAACTTTTGTTAAACTGATTATTCCAGTCTAAGTTCATGTTTTATTACTTTTAAACAATATTTCTGATAGCAGTATTTGTGTTGTTCTTGTAAGACGGTACAGCAGAAAGAAAATTCTAGCTAATTAAGGGTTTGAATTACTTAACTTCTGGAAAATTAAACTTTATTGCCTTTGCCCTTAAAATGCTTTCATTTTTCCCCTTTAATTATAATTGCTTACATTCATTAAATGTTTACTATGCATCAGACACTGTTCTAAGTGATGATTTTCATGAATTAATGTATTCTTCTAAAATCCAACGTGTGAGTAGTGCCACTATTGAGCATCTACTTGGTGTGGGCCTGCTGACACCCAGAGTACCTAAACCACAGAGAACAATAAATGCTAAAGGAGGCTATTACTTTAGAAGACCTGTAGGTGGGCCCGTTTTACAGATGAGAACACTGAGGCACATAAACATTAACTAACTTGTCCAAGCACGTAAGTCATAAAGCTAAGGTATGAACACAAGCAGCCTGACTCTGAAACCTGTGCTCCTGACACCTCTAACATATGTCTCCCACAACACTGACTAATTCCATATATTTTTAATGGACAGTATTAGCATCAGAATTTATCTTAGTGAGGAAACAAATCAGATGCAGTGACTGGTGAGCCCTACTGGACTTCTGACAAACCAAACCTTTCCTCAGTGCATAGAGCAGGAAGATAAGTGGACTGGAATTAGGAGGTGTAAGCTCTGGCTTGGGGCCTGATACCAGTTTGCTGTGTGATCTATAAAAGTAGCTCTCTAATCCTTATTTTCCCCATCCATGGTGCTGTTTAAGTCTGCACAGGTAACATCAGGCAGATTTCCATTTATTAGCTCTACTTGTGGTTAAGACAATTATTATAGATGGCCACTGATCAAACTGTTTATCCTTCTCCCAAGAAAGTGACCCTAAGGTGAATTTTAATTGTTGTTTGCTGTTTGTTTTTTCCTTAATAGCCTGGCCCAGATTAATCTGGGCCTTAGAAAGCAGAGTTGGCCCTTAGAAAGTAGAGTTGCATCCTGACAGGATGTGACATAGAGCATGTAAGTTTTGACTGTGCTAGAATGAAAGCGGGCAGCACACAGATGTTGGCAGCTCACAGTGCTGCCTGGGGAGGGAGGCTGCAGGGGATGGCAGGTGGCTGTGTGTGAGAAACAAGGGCCCAGGAGGTGGGGAGGGGAAGCCCTGCAGCGACCTTCTACCCCTGCTTCTTCTGGGAAGAACATCCCCTTTCTATGGGGCTTTTCTTTCTCCAAAAACCAATTATTTGGGAGACAACGTGTCACTCAAGTTTGCCAAGCAGAATCCTTCCTTGGGATTTTTAATAAAATTGTGACAAATGGAGGAGGGGCAGCCCTCTCTTGTGGTGAGAAGTGAAACACAGGAATGGTCAGCAAGCTCTGTCCTCCAAGTGGTGGAGGAAGCTGGTATGATCTGCAGAAAGAAGCATATCCTAGTAATATTTGAGTATCTGGCTCCATTTGTTTCAGAGACCAAGCTCACAGCTCTATTTGTGTTGTTGTTATTTAATGTAATCATTTCCCTGGACTCTCTATGCCAAAAAACAAAATAAAACAAGCAAACAAACTCCTTTTGTCTAAACTAAGCTGAGTTGGATTTCTATAATTTGGGAAAAAAAGCCTTGATTAATAGAAATAACAAGAAATGTTCGATTGCTAATAATTGAATTCAAATCAATTAGACTCTAAACTCAGAATCCACAAACTACCTGAAGAAGGATGTAAAATTTCATTGGTTGTTGCGTTTCTCTGTTGTAAAGATGCATGGCTTTCATCAGATTCTCAAAGGGGGGTGTGAACCAAAAAAGGATAAGAACAATTACACCAGGGAGCTTGCGGGCAGGGCTGAGATCATTTCTGTAGGAGTTCAATAAACAGTCATTGAATGAATTCAAAACACATCAAGGAAGCTCCTGCTGAGCTTCAGATATAGCACTAGATTCAGGAAGGATGCAAAGATGGATGGTACGGCCTCAAGCAGAGTGCATCTTGTGGGTGAGAGACACAGCTAAAATAAAACAGAGTGAAGTAATTTTTACAACAGAGGCAAGCAGTGTGAGACCCTGTGGGAAGCAGGGGCTGATGGCTGATTTTTGTTAGGGGATCAGAAAGGCTGAGCAAAGTGGCTTTCATGTGTGGTGCATGAGACTTCAAAGGCTGGGCATGACACCACCCACCTCTATAGCATAGTGGTGGGGAACTCCAAGTCTGTCTTCAGCCAATTGGGTTCAAATTTTCCTAAGCCCACCTATTAGCTGTGGGACCCTGGACCTGGCATTGCTGAGCCTTAAAATATTTTCCCGTTTAAACTGAAATAATAATAGTATCTGCCTCATTGGGTAGAAGGCTGGTCACAAAGTTGGTGTAAAGTAAGGACACAATAAATGGTAGCCATTGTTGTTGTAGCCATTGGTGGCAGTGATGGTTATTCAATGAGTGTAGATGATGAAACAGAGATTCCAGGCAGAGAGGGCAGTGAGCACGAAGGCAGAGAGGCAGGGGACTGTCTTTATGACTGAAAGCAGCAAATGTGGTTTGGTTAGAGCCTAGCACATCAGTGAGATGACTTTGGAGAGGTAGAGTACCGTGAAGGCCAATCTCAGGAGTTTGGTAGGCAGTGGGCGGCCATCACATATCATACGCAGAGGAATGGCATGATTGGAGCTGGGCTTTAGGCAGAAAACTGGCTGTAGTGTAGAGAAGAACCGCCAAGGGGAGAAATGGTGGTCAGCACGGCAGAGTAAGGGAATGTTAGCTCAGTGGTTAAGAGCTTAGGCTACGGAGTCAGACAGATCTGGTTTCAATTCTTGGCTCTGTTCCTTACTATTTAATTTTTATTTTGGAAATTCTAATTTTGGGAAAATTACTCAAATTCTCCAAGACTTATTCTTTAAAATTATTATAGTAATAACATGTATGGGATTGTTGTGAAGAATAAGTGTGATAATGGATGTTAAGAAGTTTGTATTTTTAATGGCACATAGCAAAACACTTGATTTTTAGCTATTATGATTATAATTTCGGAGAACAATGAGGAGGCTATTTTTTCCAAAGGCTGGATCTTTTCTGGAACCCAGGCCACCCTCATCTCAGACATGGTATATAAAGCTTGTCTGGTAAAAATTCACCAGGCAAAGGCACTCAGAACTCATAGGTTCTAGAAATAAGGCCCTAGCAGCTCTACCTCAGTTTCTGCCAGCATCTCTCCTCTGATAGGTCCTCTGAAGCAGTACCCTCACTTAGCATTTGTTGGTTTGTGTGTGTGTGTGTGTGTGTGTGTGTGTGTGGTTTATGTTACTCTGGGTATTGGGAGGCCCACACCAAATGGATGCTCAAGCTTGGATATAAATATGGCCCAGAAGTAGCCATCATCACATCAATGCTTATTTCCTGTTGAGCACATGGTCTGAGCAGCAATCAGTCCTCTTCATGAACAAAGGCTAAATACTGGGGCCTGTTGCTTAAAATGAGCAAAATCTCTGTGATAATTGTAACGTAATTCCAAAGCAGGGAAAAAAAAAGCATTTGAAATGGAAACTGAATTGTAAGCCAGAAAAATGAGAACTATTTCTTTTCCTTTTGGAAATTCAGACTCATAAGGGTTGATTCTCACTAAAATACTGAAGAAGAATTGGGAAGTTAAAAAAATTAATTTTTTTAAAAAGGAGTTATTTCAGAGCATGGGACAGATATATATAGGTAAAGCATTTATTTGATCATTTGTTCATTTTTATATATGGATCTGAGGAGAGCTTTCTTTCAGTTTCACCTTTCTTTCAATTTCATCTTTGAAATAATAAAAAAAAGGCTCCCTTCCCCACACAACACAATCTGCTCCCTTCAAATACTTTAGATATTAAAAAGATACAGGGTAACATCCCCAAAAGAAACAGCACACATGACAATTGGCCAATGCTTACTAATTCCTTTGCAATTTATATTGATGATGATGATTATAATAAACATTTATATGATTCTCACTATATTGTAGGCACTATTCTAAGAACTTTATTTCTATTAACTCATTTGACCCTAATAGCCTTATGGATTAGGTAATATTACTACTCTCTTTTGCAGATGAGGAAACTGAAGCGAAAGAATGTTGACTAATTTTGTCAAGGTCACACAACTGGTAAGCTATGAAATTAGGATTCAAACCCAAGCAACCTGACTCATGTATATCTTTAACTACAGTTCTATGATGAAAATATACATTTGTATTCTTGAGGTTTTATGTTGCTAGCATGTTAGCTTATCACCTAAGATTAATGATTGACTCTATAATACTTTCATTAAAATTTTACAAGATATAAAGACAAGCCGGCTGCCAAATAATTACCTAAGTACATGTCATAAAGAACCCGTGGCACTTTATCACAATGATGCATGCCATCTTAGTGTTCCTGGGCTTTCAAGTTTTTTTAACTTCTAGGTGATTTCTTTCTTTCTTCATGGTTCCTCCAATTTCTTTCTTCTATGTCTTTTCTCATCTATTCTTTTGTTCTCCTAGTCAACTTGTCTTCCTCTTGCCACACAGCACGAATTAACTTTCTTCCCCAAAAAGAAGTGACAAATTTGCATTTTACTTTAGGAATCACTCTTCTAGGGGTGTGTGTCACATGTAGTAACAATATTTAAACCATGTCTGTTATTTTTTGCCACAGTGTGGATATACAAATTAGTGAACCCATTAATGGAAATTTTCTTAAGTTGCAAAAAAAAAAAAAAAAAAAAAAGGGTTGGGGGAAGCTTTGCATTGTCTTTAAGTCTTGATCTCTTATCAATTCTCTTTCCATTGAAAAGAAGTAGCCAGATGTATTAGTTTGCTAGGGGTGCATAACAAAGTACTACAGACTGGGTGGCTTAAACAATAGAAGTTACGTTTTTGTTTTTTTTTTTTTGAGACTGAGTCTCGCTCTGTCGGCTAGGCTGGAGTGCAGTGGCGCGATCTCGGCTCACTGCAACCTCCGCCTCCTGGGCTCAAGCAATTCTCCTAGAAATTAATGTTTTTTCAGTTTCGGAGGCTAGAAGTCCAAGATCAAAGTGTCATCGGCATTGGTTCCTTCCAAAGGCCATGAAGGAAGGACCTGTTCCAGGTTTCTCTCCTTGGCTTTTAGATGGCTATCTCCTCCCTGCTGCCTTCACTTTGTCTTCCCTGTGCATGTGGTTATGTCCAAATTTCTTCTTCTTATAAGGACACCAGTCATATAAAATTAGGGCCCCACCTTAGGGTCTCATTTTAATTGAATTACCTCAATAAAGATCCTATCTTCAAATACACATGTATGGTCACACTCTGAAGTGCTGGAGGTCAGGACTTCAGTACAGGAATCTCCTGAGTTCCTAACACCATACAAAATAAACATTTTCCATTGATTAATTTACTCTTATCCTAAAAATTATAATTTTTATGGTGGTGTTTTTCTTCTACTGTCAAAGTATGCGGAAAAAAATGATTGGAAGTACAGGCTATGCTGTGCTCCTGGAAACCACAGCTTCGCAAGAGTGCCCTCAGGGAGCTCTCCTCCCTCCTACCCCAATGAACACTATGAAAACTGGGGATCACACATCAGACAGAATATTTTCAGTACTGACCTTTTCCTCCACATTCTCCAACTGGTGTAAGGTTCAGCTGGATTTGACATTTTCTGTGTCTTCCCTTACTTTCCAATATCTTGTGCTTTCTGATATTTTGGATTATAGCAATATCAAAGTCTTTTTGCTGAACATCTTTTCCCTCATTTGCAAAACTGTGATAGTAATGCCTTCTCACAGAATTGTTGAAGGGTTACATGATATTAACTGTGAGAAGGTCTTAAATATATATAGATTTTTCTCCCTGCTGAAGTTGTGAGATCCTAGGGAACCAGGAATGCCTTAGATTCCCAGTAGATGAAAGTTTAAAATAATTGTTTGCTTGAAAAATTAGCTGAGTCTATGAGAGAGTGTTTCATACTTTTTCTTTTTTTTTTTTGCTTGAGACAGAGTCTTACTCTGTTGCCTAGGCTGGAGTGTAGCAGCGTGATCTCAGCTCACTGCAACCTCTGTCTCCCAGGTTCAAGCAATTGTCCTGCCTCAGCCTCCCAAGTAGCTGGGATTACAGGTGTGCACCACCACACCCGGCTAATTTTGTATTTTTAGTAGAGGAGGGGTTTCATGATGTTGGCCAGGCTGGTCTCAAACCCCTGACCTCAAGTGATCCGCCCACCTCGGCCTCTCAAAGTGCTGGAATTACGGGCATGAGCCACTGTACCCAGCTGAGAGAGTGTTTTATACTTTCTTGTGAATTATAGAACAATCTAGTTAAGCAAGATGCAAGATCCCAGAAGGAATATAAATCTGGGTACAGGCTGAAGGTCTGACTTCAGAAGGGGATGGTGGTAATGGTAATGATAGGATTACCAGACATAGAGTTGAGTCTTTCAGGAAAATGTGTCTCCAGAAGAGCTAGAAAAGAGTAGTTATGGGCTGAATCGTGTCTCCCTCAAAATTCATGTGTTGAAGTCCTAACCCCAGTACCTCAGAATGTGACCTCATTTGGAAATAGGATCATTGCAGATGTAATTAGTTAAGATGAGGCCATACTGGACTAGGGTAAGCTCCCAATGCAGTAGGTCTGGTATCTTCATATAAAGTAGAAATTCAGACACAGAGACACACATACAAGGAGAACACCATGTAAGCCTGAAGGCAGAGACTGGGGTGACATATCTACAAGCCAAGGAACCCCAAAGATTGCTAGCAAACCACCAGAAGCTATCAGAGAGGCCTGGACCAGCATCTTCCTCACAGTCTTTAGAAGGAACCTTCCTTGCTGACACCTTGATCCTGGACTTTGAGTTTCCAGAAATGTAAGACAATGATTTTCTGTTGTTGGAGCTACTCAGTTGGTCCTACTTTGTTACAGCAGCTCTAGGAAACTAACATAATAGGGCTGGCAGTAATGAGGGTGAACTGGAGGGTGTACGAGTTGAGGTTCGCTCATTCTAAGAATCAGTGTTTTGGAGTAAGAGATGGAAAGGCAAAGATATCTGAAAAGAATTTGAAGATGGGAAGCTGGTGGGCTGATGCATGAGGCAGATCTTGAGGACTTTAGCCCTGAAGGATGGCAGAGTCAAGATTGTTTAGCAGGGATAAGAAGCAACTGCTGTATAAACTTTTTTGGCAAGATCTCTTACTGAGCTTTGGAAGGTTGGGGTGAGAGTGGATAACAGACCTGACATGAGATGTTTGTTTGCCCATTATGAACAACTGAGACTGTGATGGGAACTGAAAAGATATGTCAATGAAGCTAAGTGAAATTTTATATTATGGCAACAAGCAGCCCCCAAATTAGTGGCTTATAAAAATATAGGTTTATTTTGGGTTCAGGCCATATGTCCAATGTGGCTTGTCAGGGGCAGGAGGATGATGGATTATCCATTTTATTTATTTATTTATTTATTTATTTAGATGGATTTTCGCTCTTGTTGCCCAGGCTGGAGTGCAGTGGTGTAATTTTGGCTCACCGCAACCTCTGCCTTCCGAGTTTAAGTGATTCTCCTGTCTCAGCCTCCTAGGTAGCTGGGATTACATTCATGTGCCACCACGCCTGGCTAATTTTTTTGTATTTCTAGTAGAGACGGGGTTTCACTATGGTCAGGCTGGTCTCGAACTCCTGACCTCAGGTGATCCACCCGCCTCGGCCTCCCAAAGTGCTGGGATTACAGGTGTGAGCCGCCATGACCGGCCCAGATTATCCATTTTAAAAGGTGTTCCATGGTCACCACAGCAGAGGGCATGACACATAGCAAATAACATATTAGCTCCTAAGGCATCTACCTGGAAGTGGCATGTGTCACTTCCACTCACATTTCATGGATCAAAAGAAGACTTTGAGAGAGTGCAATCCTAACAGATCCCCAGGAAGCAGAAAACCAGGATCATCTGGTGAACAGCACTAACAGTTGCGCGGGATCTGAAGGACTACACAGTCCAGATATTTGTTTATGTCTGGAATACACAATCCAGATATATGCATCAGGAAACTAGAATCCAAAGATGGCAATTTTGCCAACCAAGCCACAGCTGTTAAGGAGCAGAACCAGAAACCCTGATGCACTCTCTGCTGTATCCGGCTGTCTCCTTCACAAGAGTTCCATCAAACCAAACACACTGGTTTGGAACACATTGCTTATACAAAGGGCCTTACTATTCTCTAAAGTGTACACGCAACACATGCAGTCATTCTTGGTTGTAAAGCAAAGAGACTTATCTACATAAATGTGTCAATGTGGTCTACAATTTAACAGCCATCTATTAATAATTCAGTAATGCCCCCACTCTCTTTAATTAAGAAGGGCTATTTAGGGGTATTTAAAAAGCTTTAGATCTACTACATTTTTATCATGTTTGTCTACATTGCTTCTAGGACTGCTACAGGCCCACTGCATTTTTGAATTAATGAAGATAATCAGCATAAAGCTAACTAGAGAAGTTTAAGCCAATATTCAAAAATAAATTTGTTCAATAGGTCTCTGTGTAGCATGGAGTTAACTTGGGGGTACTTGATCCCTGCACATTGCAAAAAATAGGCTGGCCATTAACCAGTCCCTGAAAGATAACCTGTAAGCCCTTGAATATCCTGCCTAATAAGAGTGTCTTTGTCTACCTGAGATCTTGGTCCACATAATAGTGTGTTTATGTTATCAGTGTGATTTATGATGAATGCCTTTATGTTTATAACAATAGTTTATGTTAACAATGTGATTTATCATGAATGCTGGAGTTTGTTTCCCTGGGTTCCTGAGTGATATGGTTTGGCTCTGTGTCCCCACCAAAATCTCATGTTGAATTGTAACCCTGAGTGTTGGACGTGGGGCCTGGTGGGAGGTGATTGGATCATGAGGGTGGTTTCTATTGGTTTAGCACTATCCGTTGAGTGTTGCCTCGTGATAGAGTTGATAGAGTTCTCATGAGATCTGGTCGTTTGAAAGTATGTATCACCTTCCCCTTTGCTCACTCTCTCTCTCTTCCTGCTGCTCCGGCCATGTAGGATGTGCTGGCCTCTCCTTCACTTTCTGCCATGATTGTAAGTTTCCTGAAGCCTTCTCAGCCATGCTTCCTGTACAGCCTGCAGAACCATGAGCTAATTAAACCTCTTTTCTTTATAAATTACCCAGTCTCAGGTAGTCCTTTATGGCAGTGTGAGAACGGACTAATACACTGAGCCAGGCTGACCTCTGGGGGTGCTGGAGACTGAGTTGTTAAGGTCAGACTGTGGGAACTCCATACCTATGTGACTGGTTCCAAATAAAAACCCCCACCACCAAGGCGTAGGTGAGCTTCCCCAGCTAGCAATATTTTGTATGTGTTCTTACACACCATTTCTGAAAGAATTAAGTGCTATCTGATGACTCCACTAGAAGCCACCTGGAAACTCATGTCTTGCTTCTCCTGGAATCTGTCCTATGTGTCTTTTGCCTTTGCTGATTTTTGTCTGTATTATTTCACTGCAATAAACCATAAACATGAGTATAACAGTTTTTCTGAGTTCTGTGAGTCTTTATAACAAATCATTCAACCTGAGGGTGGTCTTAGGCCAAGCCAGGATGGCCTAGGATTTGACAGAGAATGTTCAGATACGTATTAATTTTTACATAGATAAACAGTCAGTATGCATAGTTTACTAGTAATATAGCTGAAGGTTATTTGGAAGTTAATGTCCACTCTAGGAAAGAATAACAGCATATCTGCAAAATATTGGCCTAAAATAGTACTTTTAACCCGAGGTAATTGATATGGTTAGGCTTTGTGTCCCCACCTAAATCTCATCTTTAATTATAATTCCCACAATCCCCACGTGTCAAGGGAGAGACCAGGTGGAGGTAATTGATTCTTGGGGGTGGTTTCCCTTATGCTGTTCTTGTGATAATGAGTGAGTTCTCATGAGATCTGATGGCTTTATAAGGGGCTTCTCCCTCTTTACTCAGCATTTTTCCTTCCTGCTGCCTTGTGAAGAAGGTGCTTTGCTTTCCCTTTGCCTTCCGTCATGATTGTAAGTTTGCTGAGGCCTCCCCAGCCATGCTGACCTGTGAGTCAAACCTCTTTCCTTTATAAATTACCCAGTCTCGGGCAGTTCTTTATAGCAATATGAAAATGAACCAACACAGTAATTATTTGCTTATTTGATAAACCACTGCCTTGTCTGTTCAATAAAAATAAGTTAATGGAGACTTGTTCTAGGTTACAAAGCAGTAGACTTGTGAAATACAAATAAACCAGGTTTGTGAAAAAGTGCAAATGTAAATTTTGAATTGAAGAAAGAAACAAAAATGACTTTTACGAATTTATTTAAATGCACTTTATTGTTGGCTTAGACATTTCCCTCCTTTACTGGAGAATGTCTCAAGTGCCAGTTTGTATATAGACAGGCTTACTTGCAGAGAATAATTTTGCTATTTGAAACTTGAACTATTTGTTCATATTAAATAAGGTAATGTTAAATTGAATTGCTATCTGTAAAGTGTTATATAAAAGCATTACTAGTCATTCTCATGGGCAGTGAAGCATGGTGGACAGCTTTTTATGCATCATAATTTTTCTATCCTAAGCATATCTTTTTGGAATAGAGGTGTTGTACCCTGGGGTTTGACTGGATGTGGTCTGGTTGACAAGAGCAGGTTGGAGCAGACAGGAAGGGTCGAGGTTGCAAAAATATCTGTTGAAGAAGGTGGGAAGCCACAGAAGTAGGGGAAATAACAGGAAATATTGTGGCAAATAGAACACATAATCGTTGGGCATGGCAACTGAGTAATGGGTATCTGGAAATACGTAGACTATGGGAACAGGAAGTATAGGAACATGCAGCATGACAGAGTTTACGTAGAGTCACACAGACATGGATTTGAATTCCTGCTTTATCAAGGGTATATGGTTTGTGGGTAAATAAGTTTCTAAGCCTTAATTTTCTTAAATATAAAATACAATAATGGAAACTACTTGAAGGAATTATCGCTTAGACAAATTTCAACATATGTGAGGCATTAACATAGTGCCTAGAAAAATAGTGCTTATTAGCTATTAGTTTATATATAAATTTAGGATTGCTGGGGGAGTGGTGGTTCTTCTCAAATCAGAATCCATTGATTTCATCTTTGTGGAGAGGGATGCTTCTGGGCTTAGGAACCAGTGAGATCCTCAGAGGGAGAAGGAGGAAGGGAGCTCATCCACACCTGTCTGCTACCACTTCCACCTGTTACCATTTGAAGGATGATTGCATATATTCCTGGGTGAAAGAGACACATTTGCTTTTTATCTTGCTGCAGTTGGAGGTAAGTCATCTCTCAGTAGCTGCCAACACCTCACTATTGCCCTATAGGTGAGTTTGCCAGAAGGCGCTTCAAGACTTTGCTGAGCTCCATCCAAGCATCAGTTTCTTTCTTATTAGCCTGGTGTACTTTTATAGCACCTGGAGCACAGGTGGCAGTTGGGGGACAGTTCTTGATGCGCAGATAAGTGGAGATGGTGTGTAAGGCAAAGCCCCAGCATAGACATTTTAGTGGAATGCAACAGAGCTAAAACATACCCTGTTACATCATGTCAGAGGTAATGAGACATTTACAGCACTTGAAGTCCTCTTCCAATGTATTTGAACACTTCATTTGACTTGGAATGATCTTAATTATTCTTCACACTTGGTTAAAACAGACCCAACCATTTGCAGAAGACAATGGGCCATAAAATGTATTAAACAAGCCCAAGAAAGCATCACCAGGAAATACAAAGCATTTAGATTTGTTTTTTATTCTCAGAGGTTGGTAAGAGCAGCCCTTGTAACTAATGAAGGAGTTGACACTGAGTCAGTGTACCTCAGGCAGCTAAGTGGGTAGCTCCAAGGCCACACAGTTCATCGTTACCATGGGTGCACCTTACTATAGTAACAATGAACAGAAGAGATGGGGCCTCATGCTGAGGAAAAGAACTCAGAGAGGTGGAACAGATGGCCTGTTGTCTGTTTCTACTTTGGGCATGACAGATGAGCAATGGATCCAATTATATCACTGGAAGGGGAGAGCCATGTGAGACATTTGTGATCTGTAGGGCTGGCTGTGGAGCTATAGAGCAGCACCAGGTGCATTCAGGCAGTGCCTGCTCAGGAGTAGCTATGGTAACTGTAGACATGCTCCAAGAAGTCATAACCTGGACCACACATTGCTTGGGAAGGGAAGTGTGAGGATGGGAGGGGCTACTACCAAGCTCAGCAGATGGTTCCTGCAGTCTGTGCAGGCAATGTGGATATAGACACTTTACCTTCATCACAAAATACTGAATTAAAAAAAGACCAACTTTTCTTTATCCCTTTGTCGAAGAAAGATTAAGTGTTCACTTGTTGATCTCACTTAGTTCAGCCACTTTTTGTGTTTCCTGTGAATGCTGAGAAGAGAGATGATTATTTCACATAAAAGTAAATGATCAGCATATGTCCTAATAGAACTTTCTCTAAAGTTGGTTTTATAATACATTATAACTCAAAGATTCCTTATCAAATAAATTTGGGCAATCCAAAATTAAATGAGTCTCTTCACCAAAGGACTTCACAGTCTATGTTATGAATTACAAATATCCAAATACAACATATAAAATATGGTATTCCCAAATCTTATTTGACTAAGGAGTGCTTTTTATTTAGAGTATTTGACTGAGGAAGGAGTAAGGGTATATTTTAGACTAGTGTTTTGCAGAAATATTTTTGAAAAAGGCTACTCTGGAGCCTATTGGGAATAATTTGGATGGAGAGCTGGTGACAAAAATCAAACAGTTTAGGATGGTAAAAAGTGCTGGAATTTAACTGCTCTATTTAAGACCATGAAAACTTCTTTACTTGCACTTTATCCATGTGTGAAAATGAGGACAATACCCCAGTTTTTAATTTTCTCATCAAACCTCCATACTTTTGGCTATATAAAAAGCAGTGGGAATGCTAGATCATATGGTAGTTCTATTTTTGATTTTTTGAAGGACCACCATACTGTTTTCCACAATGGCTGTACTAACCTACATTCCTATCAGAAATGTGTAAGGTTTCCCTTTTCTCTATGTCCTCCCCAACACTAGTTACATTTGATTTTTTGAGAGTAGGCATTCTGATTGGAGTGAGGTGATATCTTATTGTAGCTTTGATTTGCAGTTCCCTGATGAAATCAGTATGTCAAAGATATATCTGCACTCCTATGTTTATTGCAGCCCTATTCATAATACACAAAATATGAAATCAACCTAAGTGCCTATCAGCAGATGAATGGATAAATAAAATGTATGTATACATAATGGAATAGTACCTGGCCACAAAATAATAAAAACCTGTCGTTTGCAGTAAAGTGAGTGAACCTGGAGGACATTAAGTGAAATAAGCCAGACATAGAAAGAGAAATACTGTATGATATTGCTCATGTGTGGAATCCAAATTGTTTCATAGAAGTAGGGAATAGAATAGTAGTTAACAGAGGACGGGAATGGTAGGTGAGGGAGGGATGGTAAGGTTAGTCAATTGGTACAAAGTTACAGTTAGACAGGAGGAGTAAGTTCTGGTGGTCTACTGCATAGTAGGATGTCTAGAGTTAACAGTAATGTATTATATATTTCAAAATAGCTAGAAGAGTATTCTCATCACAAAGAGATGATAAATATTTAAGGTGACAAACTTGGTAATTTCTCTGATTTGATCATTATGCAATTTATACCTGTATTAAAACATCATGTTGTACTCCGTAAATATATGTAATTATTACTATTATGTGTCAATCATAAATTTTAAAAAAGGTCTCTACGCATGTGGCCAGTATTGCTGGAGGTTACCCTGTCTTTCTTTTTTTTTGAGTTTTAATTCTCATAGGTTTTTGGGGAACAGGTGGTATTTAATTACATGAGTAAGTTCTTTAATGGCGATTTGTGAGATTTTGATGCACCCATCACCCAAGTAGTATACACCAAACTCAATTTGTAATCTTCTATCCCTCACCCCTTTTCCCCCCGGAGTCGCCAAAGTCCATTGTCTCATTCTTGTGCCTTTGCATCCTCATAGCTTAGCTCCCACTGAGGAGTGCAGAACATACGATGTTTGGTTTTCTGTTCCTGAGTTACTTCACTTAGAATAATAGTCTCCAATCCCATCTAGGAAAGGCATCCCTGTCTTTCTTAATGTTTCCAGTCAGTCCTTCAAGTTATGATAATACAATATAAGCTGATTCATGGAAGAGTTTTCCAAATAGGAGGTACTAAATGAAAATAAAACTTATCTAATGATTGACATATACGACTTTGTATTTAAGAAGGTATAAATTCCAAAGGCCATGACATTCTCAAAAACTTTGTTGAAGAACACAATAACCTAAGAAGTAGTGTCTATGTTTTCTACAATGACATAGTTATATTCATCCCCCAGTAATCTTTTGCAGTGGTAGCATAGCACATTTCCAATCAGAGATGTGATAAAGAAGTTCTGCCTCAGAAAGCATATCCTGAATAATGTAGGATTAATGGCTATATAATTCCCCTATGTATGCAAGGCAAATACACTCAATTACATATGTTTTCAGGCCACTAGTAATCAAATCAGCCTAGAAATTCTCTGCTTTGTATTCTTGTGGCACCAAATTGATAGCAGACCTCTAGCTCAATATTAATCTTAGAAAATCTTTGCCAATAATGAAAAGTACAATGGAGCCTTCAGTGCAGCAAGCTCATAACAGAAAATACTGCAATTGGGCTTGGTGAGCAGGGTCTAGAGAGGAACATGCTCACTCTGAGGCTGCTGGTATTAAACATATTCAAGTGTGTTACAGGTAAGCAGGGAGTTTCTGCATCTGCCAATCTCATCGCAGTCTCAGGCCTTTAGTGCTTGCACCCTCAGCACGAGGGAGAGCTGCAGAGGCTCAGCTGGCAGATGAATGGGCATGGTCAGGAGGAGAGAGGGGATGCCGCTCAGAGGCACAAGCTGGTCTGATCTGGTGGGAGATCCAGGCTCTGCTCCAAGCTCTGTGTCCAGCTCAGAGCTGCAGTCCCTACCTTTCACGCTGCACCTTGTAAATCACAGGCTTGAACAGCCTTGAGGCCACTGGGTGTGCTAATGTGCTCTTGTATATTGCACTGAGAGCTGCCCACTCAGATGACCCCCACAAATCTTGTTACTTAGAGGTGAGTGCTCTGGAGAAATAAGTGTTATATTTGGAAACAAAAATAAATCATCCAAATTAGGTGGGAAGATTCTGGTCTGATGCAGTAAAAGCATGATTGAAGGGGAAAGAAGAGGTAAGAGGGGGGTGTGGGGAAGAATATTCACATAGACGTGATCCTATGGTTGTAAGCAAGAACTCAAGCTTTATATTCCTTTGTTCAGTGCTGTAAACAATAAAGGCTTGATATAATAGTATAATAACAGATTATCATAATAGCTACCACTTATTGAGTGCATATAATATGGCAGACACTGTGCTAAGTCTCTCATGGGCTTTAGTTCACTTAATTGTCACAATAAATAGATGCTATTATAATCCTCATTTTATTTATTTGGAAACAAAGACTCAGAGAGGTTAAGTAACTCACTCAAGGTCACATAGCTAGTTAGCAGTAGAGCTTGGTCTTCTAAATCCAAAGATGAGAGCTGTTTACCGTTGATGAGTCATGCTATTTGGGGTGAGGAGGTAAAATAGGTTTTAATGAACAGATAACATGTATCTTATAGTCATGGAACTTATGGCCAGGAAAGGAAGTAGACAAAGCATTTCAAATAGTTAATTCAATGTTTGCAAGAGTATGTGGGGCTGGAAAGGAGCAGCACTGAGGGCTGTTGGGACATTTCACAGAGGGCCCTGACCAAACCCATCCTCCAACCCCTGTATCACTCTGCTTCTGCACACAGCTGTAGGGACCAGCCTACACACTCCCACACAAGTATAATTAGGAATTTCAGGTTCATCCCTTTTATCCCACAGCAGATTTTAGAGTTTACACTGATTCTGTGTTCTAAAAGAAGAAAATGTAATATCACTGTGAATGTTATCATCTTTTGTTGCTTTAATTGCCTATAGGATAAAAAGCATATCTTTTTAACTGATTTCTATACTTCTATGCCATTTGGAGCTTCTTAGATGTGGCAAGAGGACAGAAGAACATCTAAAATTCTGGTTCTCGGTTTTTTAAACAGACTGACTGTGACTTACTCCTTTGAGAAGAGTTGGAGGCAGAGGTGGGAGGGCAGATCCCAGTGCCATTGTTTACTTGGGTTCTGGTGAGGTCGAGTCTCAGGGGCTAGATTTGACTAGGGAAATTGTGCAGTCAAGTTGGTGTTTTTTTTTTTTTACTCCAGGTCTGTTTCAGGGATTCTTCCAAAGAGAATGATGCTGGCACATTTAACCTCTCAGTTAAACTCTGTCATTCTGCACTTGCCTGTCCTGGCACTGTTGTAGATTAGATTCTCTGCAACCAGGCTCTGGGACAAAGTGCTCTTTGGGAAGCACCCAAGGGAGGGAGAAAATGGGATCTGGAAGGGGTAAGAGCCCAGCAAAGCTGTAGAATTGGTCAAATTGAGCCCTGGCCTTATTCCTGATGGGTCTGGGTTGTGTTCTCCCACCTTAAAGCAAGGGGGTCAGGCTTTGATATCACCAAATTAGTCCCCTCACCCTGAGGGAGGAGGATCTTTCAGAGGTCTCCAGAAGTCAGAGTTGGGGTGGGTACAATGGCAGCAAAAGAAGATCTAGAAGGAGCACCTACTCCAGATTCACACGGTGAGGGGAAACTCACACCATCCCTTCATGAGTCCCAAACGCTTTAAGAGGGATGTGGAGGGTCTTAGCACAAAACAGCATCACATGTTTCTACCTCCACAGTGGTGGCAGCCCAGTATATAGAGCATGGGGAACTCAGGTTCCAACAGCAGAGGCCTCTCCAGATCCCACGTTTCCTGTGTTCAAATGGGGAGATAGTGGTCCTGGCATTGGAAGTGCCTCTCAGTAACCACCCTTGGAGAACAGACCTCTCTTGAAGGGTCCCCCCTTCAGGACAGAACATCCTCTTGCATAGAGTGTGGGATAAGTGACCCTCTAGCCCTTAGAGACAAAGTCCCCACGTTGGCCCAGAGAGAGGCAGCCACTTTTACACATTTTAAACTCCCTCTCACCACCAATAAAATCAAGCCTCTTCCTGCCTCTGTATGTTCCAACAGCAAGTGCAACACTACAGGAGACTTATAATTTATTAACTTTTCTGTACTCAAATATTTAATTTCTGCCAATGTATAATTTAGATATGTACTTCCAGATAATTTTTTTATGAATCCAGGCCTCCCGGAATGACCTCCTTAAACCGATCACATAGTGAAGTATTGTAAAGTCTCTTCTCCAGAGCAAATGAGCCTTTACAAGGAAAATTCTCTCTGTAATGATCAGGGATGTTGAGCTTTTTTTCATATGATTGTTGGCTGCATGTATGCCTTCTTTTGAGAAGTGTCTGTTCATGTCCTTTGGCCACTTTTTAATAGGGTTGTTTGTTCCTTGGAAATTTTTATACACTGGATTTTCAAAACACAGTATGAGAAAAGGGAAAATATGTAAAACATCTCATTATAATATTTTTATTGACTCTATGTTAACATAATATTCAGGAGTATTGGGGTTAAATAAGATGTTATTTTGAAAAAACAATTTCTCTACCAAGCCTGAGAGGCATGGACCAAAGAAGAACAGGAGAGCTTCTTTCAAAATCCTTTGAAATACAGAACCTATTCTGTATTTTTGCCAGAAAATGTCAGGTTCCCTTCTGGAAGGTTGTTGTTATTTTTCCCTTGTCATCTGTATCTTCCAGAATCCTGGATGAGATTGTTCTGCTGCCAATATGTGGAATAACTAAGAACATCATTCTGCATTGAAGAACCTCTTCTGTTTTTCATGGGGCAGTGTCCAGTTAATTTCATATTTATTTCTGATGGCTATAATCAGTTGGTTGTTTCAACTCAGAAGTTATAGTGAATAAATGAGACTGAATTGCTAAAACAGAGAACTGAATTTAGCCTTCATTTGAATGCTGCCACTTTAAATTTATATATATCTTAATTCAATCACAGATTTCTTTTTCACAAAAGATGTACATTAAGAGGCCTGATATACAGATTTGTGAGTTGTTTTCCCATGTTGGAAAACTTAGCTCATGTTGTGCCTTTAGCTATGACACACACAATTTCTATTATATGTGTTATTTGGCTGCTGCTCTTCAATTAGAATGATTATCTGAATTATATGGGGTTTTGTGGGGCAGATGAAGACGGTTCATGTAAAGAAGTTAATGCCCACAAAGAAGAAGGGTTTATGCATCTGAATATAGGCCTGCATGAGCCTTCACATGTGGCATGTCAGATCGGGGTTTTTCTCCAGGGTAGGGACATCCACCTGATGGGATCTATTCCCCTATAGCATCCAGGAGCCATAGGAATACAGATACATACATACAGTTGTTAGTTTAGACTCCCAATGAAAACAGATGTCAGTGACCAGTAAGACAACTCCCAAAATATACTGACCAAAGAAATAACATTTGATTCAAGTAAAATGGAAATCAATATCAACTCCAAGAAACTATAAATCTTGATATTTCATACAAGTGTATATGTTTATTATTACTCATTCAAACAGATGAGACAGAATAATATCTAATGCACCCTGGAAAGCACCCAGGTTTCTACGTGCCTATAACAATGATTTATGCCAGGATAGTAAGAAAAAGGCTGATTTAATTACTTTTGTCACCAGGATTTCTCCATTGAAGAAGGGTAAGTTAGGAAACAGGCTATAGAATACTTTCTAATATTTATAAGAATACTTAAAAGTAGCCTACTGTATCCTTATTTATGATTGAGTTTATTATCTGTCCTCAAGTGGTGCGGCCACTCAGTCTCCTCAGGACATCATCAAATCAAGTCTGCGACCTCACTATCTGATGGCTCCGATTGCATAATCATGAATCACTTCTATATGGGCTTGAGGTTTGTTCATTCATTTACTGAACAAATAGTTAATTGATACTTATTTTGTGATATATTGTTCCAGGCACCAGGTATATGATAAATGGACAAAGTAGCTGTTCTCAAAGAACTTACTTTCTAGTCTTATGATAAACAAGAAACAGGGAAACACACACATATGTCATATTTCAAACTCAGGATAAGTGATGTAAAGAAAATGAATCAGCAAAAAAATAGGGTGTGAAGGAAGGGTGTGCAATTTTTTAAAAGGCTGCCAAGGAAGGCCTTTGTGTGAGGAGGTGACATTTGAGTAGAAACTTTAGGCGATGGTAATCTATATAATTGTGTAAAGAATGGAAATCTATACGGATTTAAAAGATGGTCTATATGAACATTTGGGGACACAGAATACAAGTGTAAAACTCTGAGCTGGGCACCTGCTTTTCTTGGAGTCCTATACCTAGTTTACTTATTACATTGTCATGAGCTCAGAGGAGCTAGTTAAGTTATTGTCCGTGTTGGTGGGGAAGGAAATAGGAGAGGGAGGTAATGCAACATTTTAGCACTAAAACCAAGGAGGACATTTCAACGGTCCAGATGAGGCCAGTATCTGAGCTGGTTAGACAGTCGCAAAGCTGGCTGTCAAATTTAGCAGCTTCGATGGAAAAGGGGATGGAAGCTAGAGGAAAACCCATGAATGGAGTGTTGGTATAGACCAGCAGGATATTGATTAAGGGGGGTGAATACGGAACAGCCCTTGAACCAAAGGCTGGTATCCATGGCTACTTTTCCCAAGGCTTCTATGTCTCACAGGTGTTCAAGGTGTACTGGAAGGGAAGACACTGGGGTCAGACAGGACGAGATAAAACAACCTGCTGAATCCTAGAAGGATCAGCTCTGGTTTGAAGCCCTTCCCATTTCCCATAAAATGCTGAGGCATGGGGATAATGGGGGTGTCAGGAACAGGGTACAGTTTCTAGGCTTGTCAAGGGCTGGGGATAAATCTGGCTGATCAGAGTGGAAATGGGCACCTTATTCCCTGAAGCCCAGAACATACATGGGTCAGTTGTCCAGCTGTATTTCCTGTAGGATAAGAGCATATTTTTGGCAAACACATTTGCTTGGTTTGGTCCAGGTAATAGGATCTTTCTAGATTTCTAAACATTGCTCACTTCCTCTCCCTACATACATACATACACCGTCCCCAGGCCCTGGGCTTCAGAGCTCTTTTTCCATTTGTTAATTCGGTAAACACTTATTGAATAGCTCTTTTGTGCCAGGGTTGAAAATACAATGATGAATAACAACTGGTCCCTGAATTTAAGGAACTACTACCTTCTAGTTCTATCCTGAGCTACTTTCTTCAACTCCCTTTTGATTATTCAAGGAAAAAGTTTCTTTCCTGTTGGACTTCATGCTACTCTTGGGACTTTAAATCCACACTGCTGTTTTTGCAATCCCTTTGCTATCTCTTTGGGCTCTCCCCTAAGAACCCATTGTTTCCTCTCTCTAATCTCAGAGCCAGGCTCCTCGACCCTCCTTGAAGTGTGTTCTTTCAAGATGTATACTTCTCCAGATTCTCTAGTCCTGTCTTCTCTCATGAAAGTTGACAATATCACACTCAGCTCATCCATTCCAACCCAGCAACATACAGCCATCAGGAACTTAAAGCATCCCACTCAGAGATTCCCCAAATGCTTGCAACGTCTAGCCCCTCTGTGTGCTGACCCTTTAATTTATCAACCACGCTTTATCTCAAGTGTATTAGAGGGACTAGGAGAAGAGATGTCTGTTCACATCTTCCCTTTATAGGAAGTAATAACCATATTTTTCTCCTGGCAGGTTTGAAATTTAATAGGACAATTTCTGGGAAAATAATTGCTTGAACAATTAACCTAATGTGGAGGTTCTTATCATGTCTATGCTCAATCCAGCCTCTTTAAACAAACAAACAGGATAGAGATAGAAAGTTGAAGCTGGTCACTGAGGCTCACACCTGTAATCCCAACATTTTGGGAGGCCTAGGTGGGCAGATCACTTGAGGTCAGGAGTTTGAGTCCAGCCTTGCCAAAATGGTAAAACTCTGTCTCTACTAAAAATATAAAAATTAGCCGGGTATGGTGGTGCACAACTGTAATCCCAGCTCCTTGGGAGGCTGAGGCAGGAGAATCGCTTGAACCTGGGAGGTGGAGGTTGCAGTGAGCTGAGATTGTGCCACTGCACTCCAGCCTGGGTGACAGAAAGAGACTCTGTCTCAAAAAAAAAAAAAAAAAAGAAAGAAAAAAGGAAACAGAAACATAAGGTTTTGACCTCTAAGAAAATAGTGATGTTCTTTATTTTTATGGCATCCTAGCACAGAAGGGAAAATGAAAAAAATAAATATTTATTAAGTTTATTTTAGTTTTAGTACCTCCTATGTGCCAGATCCTTTACATGTTTGTTTTAATCCATGTTTGTTTTAATCCAAAAGAGAGCATGTTCTAGGAGGTCAAGGAATTTACCAAATATTATACAACCAATAAGCAGTAAACCAGGATTTGAACTTTGATACTGGAACTGGCCCTTTATCTTCCACCGTGCTTTCACCTGGATCTGGAGTTAGCTACCTGCATAACCTTTATCTCACTGGCCTCAGCTTCCACATTTGGGAAATGAGGAGATTGGACCCAGGCTCCTGAGAACACTTCCAGTAAAAAACTCAGTGTCTTGGCTATTGTCACCCCCATATTATCTATTGCTAATATCTGGATAATGTTCCTTAGGATTTTTCTGAACCCAGGTACATTTCAATAAGAAACAGTTATCCACAGTCTGACCAGATTCCTGCTGTTTTGTCCTCAATTTTTTTTTATGATATTAGACTGTACAGTTTTGTAGTCTGGTTGTTTTGGGTGAACTTTTTTTCTTAGTATGGCACCTGTATGCTTTTTAAGGTACCTTTCTCATTTCACTCCTCTGGATGTTCAGGGGACTTTGCTAACACCTCTGAATATAGACCTTTATCTGGTCAGATTCAGAAAAGAAACAGAATTGACCTTTTGAATAGCAATATGAAATAAAAATTTATCGGTATTTATTAAAAAATACCTCTGCTCTACCTAGTAATTTTCTACCTAGTGAATCAACAGATCAGCTGATCAACAAATTAAGGAATCACTGCAAAATTAGAGAGATAATGTCAGTTTCAAAAAATGACTTGACATAAATATTATAATAATGTAGAGCAATCAAAGCACTTTAAAAATTAATGGGAAATCCACCATCGATCATTTTAAATTTTTATGGCCAAGGAACTACGTTTGTATAACTCGATTGCTCAATTGCATGGTAACATCAGGTTTCAGATCCATAGAAGGGGAATTAGATGAAATGAGCACTGACCTTTGTTACTAATGAAAATGGGAATAAAAAAAAGGAAGGAAAAAGAAAATGAGAATCAGCATCTCTAGACACTTCCTGTTTCACATTGTTCTTAATTGGACAACATCAGACAAGCAGGACTTGATATTGATGGAAATTGCTTTAATGGATGGGAGTATTTGACACTCCAAGGTTTTCTAATTTGATGGTGGCTGAACTGTACTTTTTTTTTTTTTTTTACTGAATTGTATTTTATAAACTAATCTCTAGAGGAGAACTATTCAAAAAATATCTAAAATTGATCTTTAAAATTATGCTGTACCAGGGATACAAAAACAAGAAAGTTCACGTTTTCTAACTATGCACTTGAAAAAGTTAATAGGTCAGGGGTCTAACAGCCTCAGATAGAAATACCAGACAAAGTGCCAGAATTGTCAGCATCATACAGAAGCCACAAATTGGGCTATCAAAAGAATTGCAATAATTATCCTGTCCATGAGTATGAAGTGTTTTTTCATTTATTTGTATCATGTCTGATTTCTATTCAGCAGTGTTTTGTACTTATCCTTGTAGAGATCTTTCACCTTCTTGGCTGGTTGCATTCCTAGATATTTCATTTTGTGTGTGTGGCTATTGTAAATAGGATTGTGTTCTTAACTTGACACTCAGATAGAATGTTACGGGTGTGTAGAAATGCTACTGATTTTTGTACATTGATTTTGAATCCCGAAGTTTTACTGAAGTCATTTGTCAGTTCTAGGAGCATTTTTGTGGAGTCTTTAGAGTTTTGTAGGTATAGAATCATGTTGTCAGTAAAGAGAGATAATTTAATTTTTTTTTCCTATTTGGTTGCCTTTTATTTATTTCTCTTGCCTGATGTTGTAGCTAGGACTTCCAACACTATGTTGAATAGGAGTGGTGAGAGTCCTTGCTTTGTTCTGGTTCTCAAAGGGAATGGTTTCAGCTTTTGCCTCTTCAGTATGATGTTGGGTATGGGTTTGTCATAGATGGCTCTTATTATTTTGAGAACCAACATCATTAAAATGGCCATATTGCACAAGGAAATTTACAGATTCAACACTATTCCTATCAAACTACCAATGTTGTTTTTTTACCTAATTAGAAAAAAGTATTCTAAAATTTATATGGAACCAAAAAAGAGCCCAAATGGCAAAATCAATCCATAGTTAAAAAAAAGAAAGAAAAACAAAATAAAGATGCAGGCATCACATTACTCAACTTCAAACTATACTATAAGGCTCCAGTACCTAAAACAGAATGGTACTAGTATAAATATAGACACATAGGCACCAACAGGCCCCGGTGTGTGACGTTCCCTTTCCTGTGTCCATATGTTCTCATTGTTCAACTCCAACTTATGAGTGAGAACATGTGGCGCTTGGTTTTCTGTTCTTGTGTAAGTTTGCTGAGAATGATGGTTTCCAACTTCATCCACATCCCTGCAAAGGACATGAACTCATCCTTTTTTATGGCTGCATAATATTCCATGATGTATATATGCCACATTTTCTTTATCCAGTCTATCACTGGATGAATGGAACAGAATAGAGGACCCAGAAATAAAGTCACACATCTACAATTATCTGATCTTTAACAAAGTTGACAAAAATAAGCAATGGGGAAAGAACTCTCTATTCAATAAATGGTACTAGGATAGCTGGCTAGCCATGTGCACAAGAATGAAACTGAACCCTTTTACCATATACAAAAATTAACTCAAGATGGATTAATTTGAACCTCAAACTATAAAAATCCTAGAAGAGCAGCCGGGTGCAGTGGCTCATGCCTGTAATCCCAGCACTTTGGGAGGCCGAGGCGGGTGGATCATGAGGTCAGGAGATAGAGACCATCCTGGCTAACATGGTGAAACCCCATCTCTACTAAAAATACATAAAATTCGCTGGGTATGGTGGCACGCACCTGTAGTCCCAGCTACTCGGGAGGCTGAGGCAGGAGAATTGCTTGAACTCAGGAGGCGGAGGTTACAGTGAGCCAAGATTGCACCACTGCACCCCAGCCTGGGCAACAGAACAAGACTCCATCTCAAAAAAAAAAAAATTAAAAAAAAAATCCTAGAAGAAAACCTAGGAAATACTCTTTCCAACATTGGCCCTGGCAAAGAATTTATGGCTAAATCCCCAAAAGCAGTTTCAACAAAAACCAAAATTGACAAATGGAACCTAATTAGGCAAAAAGAGCTTCTCCACAGCAAAATAAACCATCAAGAGAGTAAACGACTTACAGAATGGGAGAAAATATTTGCAAAATATGCATCCAACAAAGGTTTAATATTCAGAATCTAGAAGGAACTTAAATAAATCAGCAAGCAAAAACAAATAACCCCATTTAAAAAAGAACAAAAGACATAAACAGAAGTTTCTCAAAAGAAGACATACACGTGGGCAACAAACAAATGAAAAAATGTTCCACATCATTAATCATCAGAGAAATGCCAATTAAAATCACAATGAAATACCATCTCAAACCAGTCAGAATGGCTATTATTAAAAAGTCAAAAAATAACAGATGCTGGCAAGGCTGCAGAGAAAGGAAATGCTTATATGTTGTTGATGGAAATGTAAATTAGTTCAGTCACTGTGAAAAGCAGTTTGGAGATTCCTCAAAGAACTTTTTAAAAAAATTATTATACTTTAAGTTCTGGGGTACATGTATAGAATGTGGAAGTTTTTTACATAGGTATACATGTGCCACGGTGGTTTGCTGCACCCATCAACCCGTCATCTACATTAGGTATTTCTCCTAATGCTCTCCCTCCCCTAGACCCAACTCTCCAACAGGCCCCAGTGTGTGATGTTCCCCTTCCTGTGTCCATGTGTTCTCATTGTTCAACTGTCACTTATGAGTGAGAACATGCGGTGCTTGGTTTTCTGTTCTTGTGTAAGGTTGCTGAGAATGATGGTTTCCAGCTTCATCCATGTCCCTGCAAAGGACATGAACTCATCCTTTTTTATGTCTGCATAGTATTCCATGGTGTATATGTGTTACATTTTCTTTATCCGGTCTATCACTGATGGGCATTTGGGTTGGTTCCAAGCCTTTGCTATGGTGAACAGTGCTGCAATAGACATATGTGTGCTTGTGTCTTTATAGTAGAATGATTTATAATTCTTTCGGTATATACCCAGTAATGGGATTGCTGGGTCAAATGGTATTTCTAGTTCTAGATCCTTGAGGAATCACCACACTGTCTTCCATAATGGTTGAACTACTTTACACTCCCACCAACAGTGTAAAAGTGTTCCTATTTCTCCACATCCTCTCCAGCACCTGTTGTTTCCTGACTTTTTAATGATCGCCATTCTAACTGGTATGAGATGGTATCTCATTTTGATTTTGATTTGCATTTCTCTCATGACCAGTGATGATGAGCATTTTTTTCTTGTGTCTGTTGGCTGCATAAATGTCTTTAGAGAAGTGTCTGTTCATATCCTTTGCCCACTTTTTGGTGGGGTTGTTTTCTTCTTGTAAATTTGTTTAAGTTCTTTTTAGATTGTGGATATTAGCCGTTTGTCAGATGGATAGATTTCAAAAATGGTCTCCCATTCTGTAGATTGCCTGTTCACTCTGATGATAAATTCTTTTGCTGTGCAGAAGCTCTTTAGTTGAGTTAGATCCCATTTGTCTATTTTGGCTTTTGTTTCCATTGCTTTTGGTGTTTTAGTCATGAAGTCTTTGCCCATGTCTGTCCTGAATGGTATTGCCTAGGTTTTCTTCTAGGGTTTTTATGGTTTTTGGTCTTATGTTTAATTCTTTAATCCATCTTGAATTAATTTTTGTGTAAGGTGTAAGTAAGGGATGAACTTTTAAAAGATAACTACCATTTGACCCAGTAATCCCATTACTAGGTATATGCCCAAAGGAAAATCATTCTACAAAGAAGACACATGTACTCTTGTTCATCACAGTTCTATTCACAATAGAAAAGGCATGGAATTAACCTAGATGCCTGTCAACAGTGGATTGGATAAAGAAAATGTCATAGATACTCATGGAATACTGTGCAGCCATAAAAAAAGAACAAGATCATGTCCTTTGCAGCAACATGGATGCAACTGGAGGCTATTATCCTAAGCAAATTAAGGCAGAGACAGAAAACCAAATACTGCCTCTTCTCGCTTATAAGTGGGAACTAAACATTTAGTACAAATGAACATAAAGATGGAAACAATAGACACTGGGAACTACTAGCAGGGGTAGGGGGAATGGGCTGAAAAACTACCTATTGGGTACTATGCTCACTACCTGAGTGATAGGATCATCTATAGTACCCCAAACCTCAGCAACACAAAATATACCTGTGTAACAAACCAGTACGTATACTCACTGAATCTAAAATAAAGTTGAAATTATTATTTTTTAAAATACCGTTATTATCCTATACCCAAGAAACATACTAGGATTATAGAGAACAGAGAGCCCTGGGAAAAAAATAACCTAAAAGGTCAGGTGAAAACTCTAAGAAAGCTATATGGCACTGGCATGAGCAAAAACTAGTAAGGGAGTTTGGGGTTATGGCCCATCTAAAACTCGACCAGATGACCCTGAGAGAAACTGGGAAGGAATAGAATATCTGAAGCTCTGTAGTCAATCTAGTGTTCAAAGTCCTGCTAATCTCCTCAATAAGATTCAAAGCTCCTGCCTTGCAGCCTTACCTATTACCTGATACACTGTTCCCATACACGCTCACATGTACCCCATTCCCCTACATAAAACCCCACACCCCACCCCGACACACACACACACACACACACACACACACACACACACACACACACACACAGAGAGAGAGAGAGAGAGAGAGAGAGAGAGAGAGAGAGAGAGAGAAACTGGTCTTTATTGGGAGAATGGAAGGAAAATGGTCATCTTAGAAAGACAATTGCTTACTTAGCCTCTCTTTCTGATTCTCTTTTTCTTTGTGAGTGTTCTCTTCCGTGCTTGGGTTCCAAGACCTCACTGCTTTTCTGGACTTTCTCCCAAAAAAAGCAAACGTTGATCTATAGCACTATCACCCTTGATAGAAATTCATTCGCTGGTATTGGAAGAGATGAGAACCATGACCTTCTCATACTTAACACATTTTTCTTTGCAAAGGCTGCTTCATCCATGGGATGGTTATTTATAGAACAGCAGAGCAAACTGGGAGGGCAAAACCTGAAGAAATGGATGTTCCCCCCTGGAGAGGGCCGGCTTAGGGAAAAGGAGTGCAGTGCAAATAAGTTTGTCAGGTGGGGCATGGAATCCAACAGGCATAGCAAGGAGTGGGGAGGCTGAGGATGTGAGTAGAGGGTAGTGACAGGGTTAGGCAGTATAGGCTAATTTGAATACTAGCCTGTTGATTTGAATACTAGCTCTGATACTTGATAGAATATATATACAATGTGGGAAATATTATGCTTATCCCTATATTCATCCTAGAGTATCTAGGGATGTTCTAAAAATAAGTTTTTGTAGGCTGTGCACTAGCATACCTCTTTCTCAGTGTATTCTCTCCCGTATCTTTGTCTTCACTGCTGCACATTCCCTCTGGTTTGCCACCACCACCTCCTCAACTCCCACATCATGGTGATTGCTGGACAGCCAACCCAGAGCCTCAGTGCTGTGGAGTTTTGCTGTCACAAACCACCTTGTAGCCAAGACACTCAGCAGAGAATTGTGGGGTGGAGTGTTGTTGTTTTAGAACGCAGCTCGTATGAGGATACTGGGGAGAACTGGCAAGATGACAGTAAGTGAAAGGGCAAAACCCCCTCAAATCTGGGGTTCCAAGGAGGAGTTACAGAAGTGAGGCAGGATAAGAAATTGTATTTTTCAAAATATTTTCTGCTTGCCCTGGGGAAGCATTGTCTTTCCTGACTACTGCCTAGTTGTGTAACTTTGCATTGGCTGATGAAATGAATGGAAGTGGTTGGTGTCACTTCTGGGAAGAAGCTCTAAGAGTGAACATTGTTAATCTGTGTTCTCCCTTCATTCTATCTGCTACAATGACCATAAATTATCCAGAATAGAAACTATTTCATTATCCTGAGTCCCAAAGACAATAGGGAGGGTAGAGAGAGAGAGATTATTCATATCGTAACATAAGAACTCAACTTCTGTTGTTATGAGTCACTGTGATTCTGGGGGTCATTTGTTATCTTGCCTTAACCTAGCTTAATCTAATTGTTATACATTTAATAAGAGTGCCAGGAACAAGGTAATTCTAGCCATTGATGAAAAATTTTCACGGTTCGTGAGTGTGCATGCACATGTGTGCACATGTATGTGTATGATAAAATAATGCACAGGAAAACAAGTCGACATTAACAATGATGACATACTGGAGAACTAATCCAGTAAAAAGAGAAAAATTAAAAATTTGATTTGGTTTAGCTGCGTAACAGCCATACTGATTGCAGTCATTTTCATGAACTGCCTACCATTTGAGGCTAATTTGTATGCAGTATAATAAAAATTATGCATAGCATTACAATATGCACCTGATTAACTCTGTTGTGGGTTTTGTTTAATTACAACAATAACCTCTATACTTGGATATTCAATCTTTGTAATTTGTTTTTCATGTAGCAATTTAAAATAATCTGTGAAATCATTCCCATTAAAAGGGTCAAATTAGGAAGCATGCTGTTGGGTGAGTGTATAGAACAGAAGGAAGATGTGCAACTACGAAGAGAAAAATGGGCTCTGCATAGATGAATAGGATGTCTGACTTTGGCCAAAACCATGTAAACATTTGTTTATTGAATTGCATGTCCTCTAAGTTCAGTCATAGGCTCTTATCACTCTGTGCTATTTTCCTAGTCAATCTCATCTATACTCATGGCTTTGACCAGCAACTGACTCCCAAAATTGCATCTCCAGTCCGTATAACTTCTAGGAACTCTGGACATACAGATCCAATGACCTATTCATCAGCTTTATTTTACTATCTCGAAGGCACCCCAACCTCAACATGTGTAAGATCATGTTCAAGGTCTTCCCCATAATGACTGGTTCTGTTTTCCTCTCAGATGTCCAATCTATATTCAACCACTGATAATTTTACCCTGTTTTTCTTTATGGTTGATTTTACTACTGATTTGAACTAGTTTTAATTGATCCTTTTATTTACATCTATGTTCTTACCACCCTAGTTCATATTGTTATCTTCAGCCTGAAGGAGCCTAACTGGTCTGCCCACATCTGCTATGCAGCCTCCAATTTACTGTCCACATTGCAGTTCAGGTGATTTGTATCAAAGTGCAGATATAATGATTATTTCACCTCCTTGTTTAAAAGCCTTACATTGTTTCCCATTGCTCTTATGCCCAATATTACATCAATTGACCTGTATTAGACATCTGTGAGTTCCCTCTCTGTTCATCGCCCACTCTTTCTTTCCAAAATGCCTCTCCTCAGTCTGTTGGGTTTTCTGTCACTTGGCTTCATCTTCCGCTCACAAGAGGAGCATAGGGCCCAACCTGCCACATCAAGGTACTCCAGTGGTTGGTTCAGAGTTGGATGTTATACCCCAAGTACGGGTCAATGAGAGTCCTACTTTGTCTGTCAATATGAATTCTAGGAGAAAGAGAACCTCTCATCTTCTGAGATAACAGCTTTTAGGTATGTTCTATGTTCAGTGTATTTTATAGTGGAGTGGAGAAAGCCTGTCTGAGAATGAAGCTAATACAAAGGAGAAGTGGGTCGGGAGATGCAGAAAAAAGACAGATGATTGGTGACATTTGTCTGAGCCAGTGCTGGAAGGCAGTGCCAGATCTTAGACTTCTCATTTATGTCAGTCTGTATATTCTTTTTCAATTGAGGCTGATTTATATGGAGTTAATATCATAACTAAAAGTTTCCTTCTTATTTTTTATTCTAGAGTCAAGTCTCCTCCCTGACCTCATACCCAGTGAACTCCTTCAGAGTTAGGCTTAAACATGGCTTTTTTAGGAAAATGCTTCCTAACCCCAAATGAGATAAGATGTCTCCATTATGTTTGCTCATACTAACTTGTTTCCATTTGAATTATATGTCTATTTATACATTTATGTCTATGATTTGATGATTCTTCTCTGTGTCTCCATGTGCCTCTAAGCCCCATGAGGGCAGCAGTAATGTCTGTTTTTCCCTCCACCAGATGCTTGGTGCCTCACACAGTGCCTGACAATAGATATCTGTTGAGAGGATGAATGAATGAACACAGAATTACTTGGTGCTATGCACTGGGCTGTTTGTACATACATTACCACATTTAAGCCTCCCAATAATCTGGTGGCAAATGCTCTGTGACCTATTTGTAAATGTGAAAACTCATGCATGAATATGTTGAAAACACTGTCTAACAAATATAAAGAGAGAGATTCAGGATAGAAAATGAGATCTTGTTTCAAATGCAGAATTCCTTTTCTTATGCTGCCTTCTAAGGAGCTCTTAAATGTCTATTTGCACTTTCTCTTTTTCCCACAAAATGCTTATCTTTATTCTGATTTCTACAGTATATTACTCTGTTCTTCTATTTAAATTGTTGGATCATTAAGTTTAACACATTCCAGGAATATTTTCAGCCTCACCTGGAACACCTACAGGCTGTTTGAAACACTCCCTTACCTAACATGACTTTCAAGATCCAGAAGAAAGAATGTCTTTTGGAGTAATGGCCCTGGTTTGGGAGTATAGGGGTAGGCCCTGTCCTGAGGTTTTCCATATTTTTCTATATTGGTCAGTGACTTTCCTGTATACCCCCCCAAGCTGACCATGAGTAGAAGAGAATAGAGGGGAGAGAACAAAGAAAGACTGGGAGAGTGGAGGAGAAGGCAGAGCATGCCTATTGCCATTGAACTGGAATCCCTGAAGTCTCAAACACTTCAAAGCCCTTCACAGTTTCTCCAGTGGCCCAGTGTCTGGGTAATCTGGTCTTCTGCACATTTTAATAATCCATTGAATAATACGCATTCAATGGCAGAAGTTCAAACCTAGTAAAGTGATGCTAGAGAGTTCAGGGACATTGATAACCTCCTTGGTACATAGTACTCAGAACTATAACAATAAATGTTGGAAGTAAATGCTCAGGATGTAAAGAGGCTACAGAAATAAAAGAATTCTGGAAATATCTGAGCATGCCAAAAAGACTTACAGAAGGGCTACCCAAAGAAATCAGCCTTCAAATTCTTGGTTGTATATCAGTGAACAGCTAAGGAGCTTTTGCTGGAGAGTAAATCAATGCACTGCTTCTTTCACTGAGACATTCTTGCTATTAAAAAAAAAAAATGGCAGCTGAACCAAAGTGTGTGTAATGATATACTGGATGCTGGCATGAACTTATGTTGTCTCAAATGGTAACAAAGTTCACTGACCAGCACTGGTCTGCAATCACCCTTTGAGTAGCCGTGACCTTGAAAATTGGTTTGCAATGCTGGCTGTATGTTAGAAGAACCTGGGAGGACTTACAATCTACCCATGCCTGAATGACTTCTCCAGAGTTTCTAATTTAATGAGTCTTGTGTGATGCCCAGTATGTTTTAGTATTTTCCCAGGTGATTCTGCTGAGCAGTCAAGGCCAAGAACCACTGGCCTCAATTGTAGCAGGACCAGAAGATGTGAATTCCTGACACTGACCTTTGGGGAAAGCACTCATAGCTATGTATAGCTGACATAGGTGGAGATGTCTTTTGAAAGACTTTTTGTTTCTTGGATCTTTTATTAGCTATGTAGGGAAGGAAATAGAACTGAACAGTTACTAAGAAAGAGATAGGTGACATGTCGGGAGAAAGAACACCTACAGGCTGTTTGAAATACGCTTTAAGAAATCTGAATTTAACAGGAGAATTGGTGTATGGGATGCTACCCCCATACACAGGCAGAATGATACAGGGGAGGCAGTTGAAGGATAAAAAAATTGTCATAATGGCCTTAATTTTTTTCTTCCTCCTCCATAGTAGTTTTCTGGAGTGGATGGAACTATCATTGACATCTAAAGAGGGAAAAGTGAGGATTCAGAAGGCAAGGGCTATAAATACAGCAGCCTGGAGAACAAGGGGAAATATGTCATCTATTTGAAATACCTAAGTTCAGAGTTGAACCTGGAAAATATGTAGTTTAGAGTTAATGAATGGATAGAGCAGACTGCCAATTGTTTAGGCCATCCATCACTCCAGCCATAAAAGTTCACAAAGCACCAACCATTATTTACCTCACCCACTAAATGAGGATTGAATTCAAAGTTAAAACTTATAAATACTGGTAATGCAATTGCAATGAACTTCCTTAAATCCTTGGCTTAAAACTGGGAGTCTCAGATCCTGCATTCCAGAAAACCTCATTTTGGAGGCCAAACTGATATCCTTGGCAGTATCGTGTTGCCACAGTCACTGCAAGGTTCCTTCCTAGCAAACATTACAAAAGAAAGTGTCATTACATTCTGTCCTTTGCATGCTCATGTACTGGTGTATTAAGAGTATTTGTAGGGCCGAGAACAGTGGCTCACGCCTGTAATCCCAGCACTTCGGTTGGCTGAGGCGGGGTGATCACAGGGTTAGGAGATTGAGACCATCCTGGCTAACATGGTGAAACCCCATCTCTACTGAAAATACAAAAAATTAGCTGGGCATGGTGGCAGGCACCTGTAGTCCCAGCTACTCGGGAGGCAGGTAGCATGGCACATAGAGAACTGTGTAGGCTTTAGACCCTGATCCTTTAACTTACTAATAGGACCTTGGATACATTCATTGACTTATTCAAATATTGGTTTCCTTACATGGGAAGAGGATAATCTCTATCTCTTTAGGATCATGGCAAAGATGTAATATGGGCTTAATTCTGCTATTGAGCCAGCTGCTTTTAGTAGGGTGCAAGTAGGAAGCAACTATTTTTTCTCAGTATTGCCTTTTAAATCTGATGTGCTGAAACTCCTTTTCCCACCCCCCAATAATGGTTCAGGCAAATGTTCTAGCTATTTTTACCACTTCCTGACATCTAAAAGTCTCATCTTAAGAAGTCCTGTCTAGTATTACATCAACATTTCAATTTCTCCTACAACTTCCCCCTCCTCTAGATCAGGGCCTCACATCTGTCCTGCTCCCTTTTCCATTGCTCTGGGCCTCTGGATTTTTTCAGGATTGTGACAGGAAAAAGAAAGAGTAAGGGGAAGGTCTCACTTAGTGCTGTAGTTACTTAGCTTGAGGCTTTCTGTGTGACAGATACTCAAGTGCTGATGCTTTTCCTTGCAGGGTGCTTTGGTGGGCTCTTCTGGGGACAAAAGAAAGCACAACAAAAAAAGGAAATAAATGGCATATGCAAACCCCTAAATGACTCATGCCTAGATTTAAACAAAGGGTACAATGGCAGGTTTCTGTAGACCAGAGAACATTTGCTGTTTTACTATAGAAATTGTTATTAATATTATGAAATAATTCAAACATAAACATTCATTTGCTTTCTCTTTGCTCCCTTCTTCGTAATGTATATAGGTTTCTTTTTTTTTTTGCTTTTTATATTGTAAATATACATAATATAATATTTATCATTTTAGCCCATTTTAGGTGTACAGTTCAGTGGCATTAAGAGCATTCACATTATTGTGCAACCATTACACCATCTCTTCCTGGAATTTTCTCATCTTCCCAAACTGAAATTTTGTACCCATTGAACACTGGCTCCCCATTCTTGCCTGCCCTCAGCCTCTGGCAACCAACATTGTACTTACTTTCTGTATCTACGAATGTGACTAAGCACCTCACATAAATGGAATCATACAGTATTTGTCTTTTTGTGACTGGTTTATTTCACTTAGCATAATGTTCTCAAGGTTCATTCATGTTGTAGCCTATGTCAGAATTTCCTTCCTTTTAAAGCTGAATGATATTCCATTATGTGCATATATCATGTTTTCCATATCCCTCCATTGATACATGGGTTGTTTCTACTTTTCTTGTCTCTCAAATGTCATTTTAGATAAAAGTCCATGCCATAAATACTTATCAGTTGCTGGAAACACCCTGTCAATGGAGGAGTCCTGTTTCCTGTCCCATCTCTTTCTCCATTCTTCTACATGGTGAACAAGCACTGAGTAGTGGTTTGACCCCTGTTCTCTGGGAGACACTTAATGCTCAAGAAAGGTGCCTGGTAAAACCATGCTTTCCTCAGAATGTGCCTCCCTCGACACACCTCAGCCAAATATGTGCTTTGGTTTGTCAAAACTGGTATTACCTAACTGAACTGGGTCCATTAGCCCACATTCAACTGAAAGCCAAACACTGCAGCACCTGATTTTTTGTAGAGAGAAAGGATTATTTTAAGATGGCTGAGGAAGGGGACAGAAGATGGGCTCAAATCCATCTTCCCTCTTCGGCTCACAAGTTGTGTATTTAAGGGCAGCAGTTTTAGAAGTTGGGTCTCTGGGTTGGTTAAGGATTGGTGGAGGGTAAAGGGAAGTTAGGAAAGCCTCTTGGGCATGTGCAGTTATCCTGTCGTATCTCTTCATGGGTTGAACATGTAAATTAAGGGGGTTTGATACGGAACATGTGGTGGAAATTTGGGCTGTGCTGTCAAAAGTTCACCCAGTGGGCAGGCAAATCTTGGTACAAGCTCCAGTCAGACATTGATTCTGGCCAGCTTCAACTGGCCCTGTGGTCCTGTAAGTAGACATCCTGAAAACAAACTCATAAATTTTGTTAGTCACCAGCCCCCTTTAATCCTGCTCTTTGGTCCATTTCACCCTGCGAGGCACAATTTCACTGAGACTCACAGATACTGGACATTGAGAGCTTGGTCCTGTCCAGCAGGATAGTCCACAAATGCCTGCTGCAATGCTGCCTGTCCCAGGGTGTGGTAACACAAGACCCTTGGCTTGTGTTAATCCCTTTCAGTAAATCTCATGCTTTTCTTTGTTTTGTCTATCCCAAGCAGATTTTTTTTATCACTTGCAACTGAATCACATGAACTAATGTCTGTATTCTTCCTGTCTCTCTCCAACATGTTTTGTTCTCAGATTTATCCTCTGAGGCATCCACCAATTTTGCTCACTACCCTTTGGTCAGCATCCCTTAGGGCTAAAGGGATTGTAAACTCCAAGCTGCACTTTGAAATCTAGCTGACTGCTGTTCTCCACACTGGCTCCCATCTAAGCCCTGGGTAATTTAAGTTGACTCTGGTCTCCAAAGCCAGCAGACACAGTACATCCATTCAGGCATTTATAGTGAAAAATACTCATGGTTCTCAGATAGTGGTATATAAAACCACGGAGCAAATGTCAACAGCCTGAGTGCATGATCAGCTTTCAAAAAACCACCACTTACTTTTCTCATTTTTTTCAGCAAGTTATGCCTCTGAAGCTCATACCTTGCCTAAAAAAGCAGAACATACACAACACAATTCATGTCTTAGTGACTGGACATGTTCGACCCTGAAAGGTGTCTTGAGATTTTATTCTCTTTTCTATTGGCTGAATTTCATATTTCAACTGCTTCTATATTTCAACTTTCTTCAGTGGATGTGGGATTCATCTTTTCCCCCAGCTCCCCTTTAATGGTTTAGGAGTTTAAGGTTTTTGTTCTTTCTTTCCTTTTTTTAATCCCTAGGAAGGATGTGTCAAACAAAGACGGGTTCACAGACTTGGCACTTTGGGAACTGAACTGGTGGGCCACTGGGCCATGATCTTCCCTTGGCATTTTCTATAAGGGATATATTAAGACTGGAGCTTAATACATCAGTCATGTCCCTGCTCTTCTGCTTAAATTTGGCAAACAGCCTAGCATTAAAGTCCTCATTTCTACCAGGTTATCATGCTCTCCTTTATTGAACTGTTGTATTTACAAGAGCTAGAGAGATGAAGATCCACTTGTCAATAATAATGTAATACTATCATTTACTGATCATCTGCTTGTGCAAGATATCTTACATGCAGGAGCTGTAAGCCCTGCTTGCAAGATGGGATTGTCTTATCCCTGTTTATAGATGAGGCTCACAGAAGAGGTAAATAGATTTGCCTAAAATCACACAGCTAGGAAGTAATGTGGCAATGTTTCCAACTCAGAGCTTCTAATTCTTTTAAAAATACAGGTATGACATGAAGTATAATTGGCAAAGGCAGACCTTTTTGAAAAATACTTTATAACTCCTATATCAAAAGGCAAAAGGAGGAGGAGTGTTTACTCTTTATCATGTGGGTGTGTCCTGGGACTTTGGTGTTCTACATCCCCACTACCCACCCAGACAGGCGCCTTTTAGCTGTGTCTACAGGCACTATGTGTTGAGAATGAACAGCCGCATGACTATGTCCCTCACACATGACAGTGGTTAGCCCACTACTCTGTCTCATTGCTTGCAGGTCCCCAGCTACACTGTTGCTGTTTTGTAAGCCTTATTCCTGCAGCCAATCCAAATGGCAATTTAGATATCTCACTGTCATAAAATAATTGATCACAAAAAAAGAATTAAATCCAGTGAGTGACTTTCAGCTCTCACAATAGCAAGGTTAGAAAAAAATAATTCCCTTTCTGTTTGGAAACACAGTCGAGTACCTGTCGGAATTAAGAATGACTTACATTCATACTATTTGGGAGTCATGTGCACTGACACTCAGAAAGAAAACGTGATTCATCATAGATGAGTGTGGCGTTTGCCATGAAGATGCCCGTCATGCGAACCTGCCAGAATTGTCTAGTGAAGGCACAGAGAACTGCTTAGGCAACTGTTTTAGCTGTCCTTCACCAGGGCTTTCCAGAAGGTCTCTCATAGCTTCCTAATCAGTACTTGGTGGCTTTTTCTGTCCGCTTTCTGGTGACTAATACCTCCTCCCACAAACTCTTCCTCCATTTAGTTTCTGTGACACTGCAATATCCTGAGGTCATGTTCATTTCCTCTTCACTATGACTTCTTTATGTCCCCTAAATGACAGCATTCTCCAAGGTTCTGTCCCAGGTCCCTAGGGCTTCCACAACCTAGAGAATCCCTGCTTGTGGCTTCCCCAAGCCTCTGCCCTGAGGGTCAGGTCCCAGTTCCTAGCCCCTCCTTATGAATTTCCTCATGTGTGAGCTTCACCTGCTATGAAATTCCTTTGAGCTCCTTTCCCTCTATCTAGCTGGATATTGTCATTCTGCTGGCCTTTCCTCATCCCAGGGGCTGACTTGGCCAGCATCAATCCTCTAAGGGGCCTATCCTTAGGGTCCTATCTTCTTTCTGCTACCCTGGATTTCTGGTGTCTCCTACTGTGTGAATTCAGTTCCATACCATGGTCCACCTCCCAGCCACGACTAAGAGGTGATTTTCTGTATTAGATGCTGAACTCTAGTTCAACATTATAGTCCCTGTAATACCTGGCACACTATCCTACACACAGTAGAGTCTCCATGAGTAGTTTAGTTTAATTTAGCAAATTCTCAACAAATTGATGCAATGAATACCAGCATTGAGGTAACACCGGATAGGGGGTGTTAAAGATCCTAGAAAGAAAGAGAAAAAAGAAGGAAATTTTAATGTACTACATCGTAAAAGAAACTCATTTAATAAGTCTGTGGAAGTTTATTCATTCTTGTACTGTGGAAATGTTTTGGATCCGTGTTTACTATGTGAAGAAGCGAGGATTAAGAGAGAGTGTGTCACAGTTTATTGAAATGATTTTTTTCCTTCATTCATAAAGTTTGTCTTTATACCTGAATTAAGTTGTAACCACAGGATTAAGTTATTAACTCTGTACAAACAATCTCAAGAAGTGTTCTCTTTCTTTTCCTTTGTAGGGGTCTTCAGGGTACATTGGATGTTGAGGCTTTATACCACACCATTTAGCAGACACCATCTAGCATTTTTTTGTTGTCGTCATTTTCCTGGGTAATTAGGGTTTTCCATGATTATCAGCATGATCGCTGAGGACTGGACAGTGACTTATTTCCTGTTTTTGCACAGGCCAACCAAAGCTGAATTAAGATGCTTACCAAACAAGCTAATAATGTGACATCCGTTCCAACCAATAGTCTCTAAACATTTAATGGAGATGATGATAACTCATCTTCTATTAACATATATTTTATTTTGAAACATGTTTACTTAATCAGTTCAGCTGGCACAAGCAGAGTCAATGTTGTGAAAACAATTCCACAAAAACACTTTTCTATAGTTCTGTTCTCTTTTCAGCTCTCTTTGGTGACTTCCTGAAGCTTGAAGTATCTTCCTTGGGAGACGTATTATAGAATTTGAAATGTATGTAAAAATAAATCTTTTATTTTTGCTAAATAGTTCTATGTTAGGCATAAAACCACTTTCAAATGTTGTTGACTCTGAGAGTTAACCTCAGGCAACTGTCAGTGGGCTGGTTTGGAGTTGCAGCTGCTCTGTGCAACTTGCAGAAATGTCAGTAGAGACATGCAGCCCTAGTAAGGAATATCAACATATTTTGTATATTTGAGGATACTTCTAGATCAGTGGCAGTAGAACCAATTTACATTTCTCTGGTGATGCCACATATGGAAGCCTGAAATTAACTGGCCCTATATTTCCAATGTGTTTCAATGATGCTTTTGCGTGCATGGCAGATCAGCACCCTCTGCAGCTGTTGGCCTGCCCTGAGTTGAAGCCAACTCTGACTTGGGGCTCACTTCCGCATTCATTCCTCCTTCTGGCCTGACATTCTTTTTCTTTCTACTTACACTGTATCTTTTCGTCTCTATAATGCCTCCTTTAACTCCTTAAGTGTTTTAGCAATTCTGTCATAAAGCCTCCTAGAAATTCTCTTCTGTGGTAGACCTGTTTTAAGTTCTTGGCCCAGTACCTGATCTGAAATTGCCTAGCCCCATCTCTCACAGCCACTTTTGAGGTCATAAGACCCTTCCCTGTGGCCAGTTCTAATTGAACTTGGTGAAGATCATAGCCACCTGATTCAGGTCAAGCACAGATGGGTTGGCTGAACCAATGCCATTCTGTCACAAAGGAATTTGGAATCAAGATAGTTTGGGATTGAGCCACTCGGATGGTGGCAGACACTCATGAGAGATCACATAGGGTCAGAACCGTGTATCCAAGCAGAGTCAAGTGCAATCAGATGAAGCCAGGCCAAGAGCAGAGAAAGAGAACCAGAGAGAGGAGAAACCATATGATTCCTGAGAATGGTTAACTTCTCTGATTTTCTAATTTTTGTCTGTCCTTTTTTATCCCAGACACATTTTATTCTTTGGCTTTTTAGATGGCCCTGAGAAATATTACCATTAGAATAGTAGCTTTCTATTTCTAGAGAACTATTATTTCTAGAGAGTAGTTTCTCTCATTTCTCTAGCTCTTTGTACTTACGCTACCTTGAGGCAATTTCTGTTTCCGTCAACAAAATGGCCTTCAACCAAAGCCCCTTCCTCTTTTCTGCCATCATGGCAGGCTGGTTGAGTGACTTCTGGGCTCAACCTTTCTTCTCCTCACCACTTGCTCCAGCAGAGGCCACAGCCTAGACCCCTGGGAACCATGTTGGTGACTGAAAGTTGCTTGCCTGCTTTATTAAGGTAATTACTGATAACTGCCTCAACAATCAACCCTCCAAAGCCTCAATAGCTTCACTGAGCAGAAGTATATTTCTCATTCACATAAAATCTGATGCGGATTAGCTGGCCCTTTCCGTCAGTAACTGGATCCACCATCTGGAATTAAGTGTTGGCCCAGGAAGGAAAAGGGAAATAGAGGAGGAAAAACAACTCTAAACTGCATTGGGTTGGGACTGACACATGCCACTGTCACTTCCACTTACAGCCCACTGGCCAGATCTCAGCATGTAGTTTCATCCCAACTCTACAGAAGTCTGGAAAATACAGAGAGAACATGGTGAGTACTGGCTGTTTACGTTGCAGTCATGTTTGCCTGTTGGGCCCAATGGCTTGGTTGGATGCTTAGACAGTTGGCTGTGGAGAAGCTTGGTGGGTGAGCCCCTGTTTTGGGTCACGTAGTGTCCTTCAGCCAGTGCAGCTGTTCAAGGAGGTGCACAGCGGAGACAGCGAGACCTGGGAGGTAGGAGCATGAACTCTCAGGAGCACGGCCACGTGTCGCCTTGATCAAACACTTCTTCACCAGACCTGGGGAAGCTGGACTGCCAGACTTCCTGGAATATTCTCCCAATCTCCCTGTACTTGCCCCTCTCCCAGTCACACTTTATAAACCTTGTGCAGGTCATTCATCAAAGAAGTGACTACAAAGGCTCATTACTTTTACAAAGAAGTTTAACAGAACTTACACCTCGAGATGGCCGCTGATCAGAAGGGCAATATAGCAAATGATTGATAACATGAGCTCTTGTATCAGACTTTCTGAGCTGAAATCCCAGCTCTGCCATTTTCTAGTTGTGAGACTTTTGTCTTAAGTAATTTAATCTCTATATGCCTCTGTTTTCTCCTTTGCAAAATGAGAATAATAATAGTACTTACCTCCTAGATTTGTTGCGAGGATTAAATAGTCTAATACCTGCAAAATACTTGGAGTAATGCTTGACATGTGGCACATGTTAGGCATTCTTGTTATTATTTAAAGCAGATGTGCTGAAAGAGTGTACAATTATTTCATTTTAAGCACATTTGGAAATTTCTCCAAGCAGTTCTTTTAAACCTAAGTCATGATCATGTAAGATCAACATCTCAAACTCATTTTGAGGTGATCAACTGAAGATGTCATGTGTCCATTCAACAACTATCCTCTATACACTCTAGACTCCAGCCTGACAAAACTACTTCTTTTTCTCTCCGTGAACTGATGGTCTCTGCTCCACCCACATCCACACTTCTGTGCCTGCAAATGCTGCCTTTTCCTCCAGCACTATGGAAGAATGAGTCTTGCTCCCATCTAGGTTTTGCCTGTCTTCTTATGCCCCAGATACAATCACCTGTCATCCTAATAAAGACTTGCTTCCTCAACTCTCCCATCTCTCTTGTGCCATAAGTTTCCCTTGACAATTTCTCCTGACTACTTTCCTTTTGTCAATCAAGTATTTTGCAATATTTTGTGCCTTACGAAACATATTTTCTAGACCAAACATTTTCATCTATCACTTCATTTCTCTGCTCTTCTTTATTGCAAAAATTCTTACCAAATTAGCTATATTCACTGTCCACTTCCTTTTCTCCTATGTTTTCAATCTAGTCAAACTTTTGTCCCCACCACTTCACCAAAATTGCAAAGATCACCAGAGATCTTCATGCTGCTCAATCCAATGGTTGATTCTCAATCTTTGTTTTAGAGGCACATGACTCAATTTATAATCCCCTCCTTTCAGAAATGCTTTCTTCACTTGATGTCTAGGACAACATACTCTTTTGATTTTTACCCTGTATTATTGGCTACTTATTTTCAGGTTCCTTTGTTCAAACCTCATCCTCTTCCCAACTTCTAAGTGAGGTTGGAATGGGCTAGGGCTCAGTCCTCAGATATCTTCTGCTCTTACATTCAGGCCCATTTCTCTATATACTCTCTTTAGTCTGATAGCTTCCAAATGTGTACACCTTGCCTTGACTTTCCCCCTGAATTCCAAATTCATATATACTAAAAAGTAGCGGAATTCTGGAAGTCTGACTATAATCTTTAGCCTCATTTTCCTAAAACAGAACTCAGGATTTCCAGTTCTTCTCCCGACTAGTCCCAATCCTGTTTCTCTTTCTGTGTTTATCTAAGTTAAATGAAACCACCATTCACTCAGTTGTTTAGGTTATAAACCTTGACATTGTTCTCCTCAACCTTGCTGTCATACCTTGCTTTCAATTCATCAGCAAATCCTGTCATTTGCACCTTGAAAATACATCCTGAATCTGAGTTCCCCTGCTGTAACTTTAATCCAAGCCACCATCACCCTCGTTTCGTGATGTTGCAACTGTGTCTAAGCCTGTCACTTTGTTTTCTCATATGTTTCACACCCCACTCTTTTTTTTTTTTTTAAGACAGCAGCCAAAGCTATCTTTTGAAAGTTTTGACCAATGTCTACAAGACCCTATACAATCCATATCCAGGCTACCTTTCTTACCTCTGCATCTGCCACATTGGTCTTCATGCTGTTCCTTCAACACAACAAACGTGTGCTACTGCTTCAGAACGGCACTTTTTGTTCCCTTGTCTTGGAAGACTCTTCGCCCAGAATATTTTAATGTGGAAGTTCCATGCATTTCATTTCCATTAATCACAAAGCCAATCCACGTCTAACTCCCTCACTCCCTTCAGATGTTTGTTTTAAAATGTCACCTCCTCAGAGCTGTCTTCCATGATGATTTTGTATAAAATATCTATCCCCATATTCTTTCCTACTATTGTGTTGTTTTTTATCATAGCTCCTGTCAAATATCTATGTATTATTTGTCTCCCCCACATGCTCTTAGCTACTATCCATATGGATAGAGGATTTGTCAGCTTTATCTGCTTTGCATGAATGATCTGCACAGTACATTTCTCCCCGGGCCCCTCTCTTCCTTCAATTCTTCTGGCTAACTTCTCACTCTTAATGTCTCCATTTGTTTTTCACCTCCTTTGAGAAATTTTCTCTAGAACAAAGCTAGGCACTGTTTTCATAGGCTCGTGAAACACCCTTTACCATCCTAATCATGACAATACATTGTACAGTAACTTTCTATTTGTCCAGCTGGGCAGCCCACAAGGCAGCTTTCTGACGCTTGGCTGTGCTTACCTCCAAGCTCTTTCCCTAGGAAGAAGAGATGAGAGCTCCATCTCTCTGCTGGTGGAAGGAGAGGTTGTCTTTCCCTTCCCATAGGGCAAGAAGAGCTGCCTCCACATCCTCCTTCTGCTGTAGCTGAAGAGCCTGTTTAAAGGAACATCCTGATGGGGCTCAGCCTTTTGACCCCCAGAAAACATGGCTTTGTCTGCCATCCTGCAGCTCATCATGGGAGCCTGCAAAGTGGTTGGGGGCAGCACACACCAGCATGCTGTGAAGAGAGGAAAGAGCTGCCGGGATAACAACCCCGCAGCCACCATAATGACTCAGATTAGAACACAAGGGAACACCAGCCATTTTTTAGTCTGTCAGTTTTTCTATTATCCTCAAGACTGAGCATGAAACATTCATTATAACACGTCCTTATTGATTCAACTGATGGAAATATATTGGTATTAATAACACGAAACTCTAAGGCACTGAGGATAATAAAATGATTGCGAACATAACGGGTCTCAATATGTTTATGTGGTAGCTCTGTGCATTTCATTTCCATTAATTACTAAGCCAGCAAGTAGGTGATTTGGGTATCACATCATCAAACTATATCACCGTTTTTATTTGGTACTTACATGATTATCCAGAGGAAATAGTTTGATCGGTTATTAGTAGTAGGGTTTAATTTGTGGCAAAATGAAAATATCTGTTTGAAACGACTAACACACTGATGAAAGGCGTGAAGCTGAGGCTTCAAATGGCTTAAATATAATCACAAAAAATAAAATCCATTTTGGGTATTGTAATATTGAGTCCTCTTAGGAAATTTAAAAAACAGGGGCTTCATTTTTGTCTGTGGTCTAACTTAGGTTCTAGTCTTTTGAAGTAGGAAAAAGTATTGGGAAAGATTATTATTTTGATAAGGTATAGGAAAAGATTATTATTATGGGGTGTACTCAATGGCTACATATTTACCTGAAGGTACATTTTTTTGCTTGATGATTTCCTTGGTTCCTGTTCCTCAAGAAGAAGTTATTGTCAGCTTCCGGCAAGACTGATCTCACAAGGAAGTAGGATGTGAAAATATACAATTTAAAAAATGCATGGTACAAAAAATTATAAAAATTAAAATTTGTTTTTTAAAAAATCTAAATTTCGATGACCTGCAATCAACGACTCTAATTTTGTCATACCGTCTTCTGGTTTTTATTTTTATGCTTACATTCTTAGGATTGTCATACGTGTTTAGAACACATATTTAGAATGCCATCTACAAAATTTTCTATTCTGTTTTATTCTTTCATCATTTTACCATAAACATTTCCTTGTTTTTCTTTTTATAATGGCTTCATAATATTTCATACAGTTCTGTAATTGTCAGTTCATTTTGTAAATAATACTGAAATGGAAATATCCATGCCCATGTGTTTTTCATATTTTATTCTTAGGATATTCCTATGAGTAATTTTCCTCGGTTAAATTGTATGATTTTTTAAAAATCTCATAAAATACATTGCCAAATTACTTTTCAAAGAGGGTTGAACAAATTTAAATTATCCCCGTCAGTGTATTAGATAATAGTTTAAAAATATTTTGAACAGGATTAGGAATTTTTGCTTAGAATATTTGTTAATGTTGCAATATCCTGCTTTTTTGTAATTTTGGTAGTTTTGGAGACCATTTTCCCAATGTTTAAGTAAGTGTATTTCCCTTTGTGTGAATTGGCTTGTCATATTCTTTGTTTACCCTTTGGGTCTACATACTTTTTTTGTCAATTTCTATGAGCCTTTATTTTTGCTGCAAGTATTTTCTTGGTCTTTTGTATTTTAGTTATGTTACTCATCGTTGTCTTGGGGCTTTAAATATTTTTGTAATTGAATCTGTTGATTATTTCTTTATGATTTTGTCATTCCTCTGAAAATGGATATAACTTTTAAAAATCTGTTGGCTTGATTTGAATTTTTTTCAATAATTTCAACTTTTGTTTTAGATTCGGGGTACCCATGCAGATGTGTTACTTGTGTATTTCCAGAAATTTATCCATTTCCTCTCGATTTTCTAGTTTTTCTGTATAGAGGTATTCATACTAGTTTCTGAAGATCTTTTGTATTTCTGTGGGATCAGTTATGTTACTTTTGTCATTTCTGATTGTTCTTATTTGGATTTTCTTTTTTTCTTTGTTAATCTAGCTATCAGCCTGTCAATCTGGTATATTCTTCCAAAGAACAACTTTTGATTAGAATTTTATATTTGCCTCTTTAATAATGAGGAATTTATTTTGGTAAATGATTGAAGTGAATATTTTACATTATGTACTTTTATTCTTACATCAATTATCAGACAACAGTAGATCATTTTAAATGCCCTGTTGGCAATATTATAATTTTGAAGCTCATCCAATAATATGTACTATGGAGTCAGGTAGTGTTCCATGCATGAGATGAAAAATGAATAGGGCACCATTTTAGTAGTTAAGGAGTTCAGAATTTAGACAAGGAAAGAGGGTGGGGAACAGTTTCTAAATAGCAGCATTCTGTTATTTCATACAACCAATGAGTCACTGTTCTGGGAATCCGAACTCTATTATCTTCATCTTCCTATGTCCTTCTCCTTCTCTTTTTGTCACTCTGATTTGCTGTTGCCAGCTCTGTTTGTTTTCTTGTTCTTACATGCTTTTTGGCTTGTTTTCTCTTTTTCTTTCTTTCCTCTCTCCGTTTTTCTCTCCTTTCTGGTTTTCTCTCTCCTGCCCCCCAGCCTCCTCCCTACCTACCTCTTTTCCATCAATATCTCCTCCAGGAAAAAAAAAAAAAAGAAAAAACTGCCTACCTTTGGGGAGGCATGCATTTCTAAAGTAATTGCAAGGCATTAGTCAAAGCATGGGCTTAGGAGCTAAGCAGACTTGAATTCAAATCTTGGCCTTGGCAGTACCAACTGTAACATAAGCAACTGCAGGCAGTCCTCATTTTGCAGTGTGCCAATAAGAACGAATTTCAGTTACCATAGTTTAGTAAAATAATACTGTCTCCCAACTGCATGGTTTAAATTTCAGTTACCATATATATTAACTGTGAGTAATTGCATAAAGTACAAACTATGCTGCTAGCTCTGCAGTCCAGAGATTACTAGGTAAATAACAGATGGGCATCGTGATCAGCTACCAGTCACATCACTTCTTTTCAAGTCTGTTGGTGATTGACCATTATGTGTGTGTATGTGTGAGTTATTCAGTTCAGGCAGAGACAGCAAAGCATGTAGTTGTGTTGCCTACTGATCTCCTAGTGATAAACTCACATGCATGCATTTTACAAAAATGGATAATCAAAAGAGGGAATTGGCTAACAAAGATGAAAGTGCAGAAAAAAAGTAATGCTGCTGGAAGTGAATGTGCATAAATGAAGTTATAGAAGGAGTAGCTGACTCTGGGAATATTGATACTGTCACTATTTGAGAAAGCCTCCAGTTCCACATTCTGAGAGGCTTTGTGAAGGTGAACTTATGAACATGAATGAGGAAAATGGGAGTGATAAAAAGCGTGGTGTTCCAGAGGAAGTGGAACATCACCCTAAGGAACTCTTGGAACTACTTCACAACATTAGAAGAGTAAAGGATGAAATGCTTAAACTTCATCCCAACACAGAAAAGAGTACAACAATTTGCAAAGCACCAAAAAGAAAGCATGTTCACTCTATATCATAGGTGACATAGAAAGAAGGGAAGCACTGCTCAAACTACTCTTGATAGTTTTTCAAAGAAAGAGAGAAAATTTAATTCTCTTAAATGGCAGTATACTAAAAAAAGAAGTTTTACTATTTTTTATTTCTCTATACATTGAAAGCAGTTACAGAGTCTTTAATATTTTTGAGATAAAATGTAAAGGTCACAGAACACTAGTAATGTTTTCTATCAATTATTATGATTACTTTGCATGGTTTCAGCTTGCATGGCTATTTTTATAGCCTCTACTACCTTGCAAAGCAAGAACTGCCTATTAACTTTTCTAAGCTGTAGTTTTTCTATATGTGAAATTAATAACTTATAGGATGATTGCAAGGATTAAATGAGACAGTGAAGATAAAGTGCTTGATGCAGCTATAACTCAGTAAACTTTTAATAAAAGTAGCTATTATTGATATTCATAGCATTACTATCAACCACTAAATAAAGCAATATAGCATAACTCTACCAGGTTGGGTTTAAGGAAAATTTACTGTTTAAGCCCAATAGCTTGGGAAAATATCAGAATTAAATAAAAAAAAACTACAATGAATTAGTAAAAAAGTATAAATTTTTCTAACCACCAGGAAATTGTACCTCAAAGATTCCTTACTCGAAAACAAGGACAATCTTGCTGACAAAATGCTGTTTAAACCCATTTCCTTGGACTTGGAAGGAGAAGGAATAAAGTGACCTAGGGGTCTAATTTCAGGGAGTTCAAATCTTCTTTGTTCAAACTCTAGTATTTCATCTGTTTTCTTTTTGAGCTGAGAAACACACCAATATAGAAGAGCCCAGAAGTCATTAGAAGAGTGGGGAGTTGTGGTGGGTGGAATTTAATCAAATGGTTCTCTACAATATTTCTGCAGAAGCTCATAATTACTCTCTAGTTACATTGTACTCACCTATTTATAAAAACAAGGATTAATGAACACAAGGGAAAAAGAAGTTCATTAAAATCTACATCACCGTAGCCATTGTCTTCAGACATTTTCCTCCTCACATCTTTCATAACAGAGTAAATATGGTTAATTTAATTTTTAATGCTTTCTTTAATCTGAAATCATTACTTAAGCAATGCAGTCATCACAAAGCAGGCAAAAATACAGAGTTTGTAAAGTCTCAACTCAGATGAAAACTGAGCAACTTTCCATTGCCTATGAATCAAGTCTAAATTTCTGAGCATATCATGAAGGCCTCCCTTTTTTGGTGCCATTTTTCTCACCCAACCTCATCTCATACTGCATTCCTATATTTCATCCACATTAATCTTTTTTCTGTCCTCCAAACATACAATGTTCATTTTTGATTCAATGTCCTTATTCTTGCCCTCTCCTTGCCTCAAATGACCTTCCCTCTCTTCTTGGTCCAAATGATACCCATCTTCAAAGTCCAGCTCAAGCCCCACCTCCAGTGACATCTTCCTCAGCCATTCCATTCCTCATCAATCTGGATGCTCTCTGACCTTCTATAAAACCTCTCGTTCACACCAGTGTCCTGTGACACTGATTCTTTCAAGGTCTTGTCATATTGCTCAGTCATAGTTCAAGTTCCTGATGGTGTAGAACCCTACTGTATGTTTACATTTAGTGCACAGCTATAGTTTGCTAGTGTAGCTCTTGTAAGCAGAAGCAATGTCTTGTTCATCTCAGCATTCTACAATGCCTAGCATATAGTAGGAGCTCAAGAAATAATTATTGATAAATAAACAATAAGTAAAATTTAGCATTAAAAATATTGTTCACCCTGGTATTTCCCTTTCAAGTGGGGAAACATATCTCCCCTGACCATCTTAAGAAAATCCATTCTTCATCTCTCTTCACAGTCTTTCTCAGGGGGATGTATTCATCACAAGCAGGACCACTATTACATGGCTTATCACTGGCCCCTTTGTGAAGGTCCATCTGTCCTTGGACAGGTTTATTTGAGCTCTTAACCACAATATAGGTCAAAGAAATTAGCTCATATTTATTTTAAATCCATTTATGATATTGTACACACAAAATGTCAGAGGTAATCAAACTTTTTTGTTGTATATAATAACTAGTTGAAATATATATATATATATATATATATATATATATATATATATATACTGCCTATATATATATATTTCTCTCTGGAATGATTATTTTTATATCATGTTAGGCATAGCATAAACACTCTCCAATCAGCTAACTCAAGATGATGTTACCATTCTAAAATTACAGTGGCAAAAAGTGAACAGTAAATTCTTTTCTTTTAAATTTTATTTTAAGTTCTGGGATACATGTGCAGAATGTGCAGGTTTGTTACATAGGTATACATGTGCCATGGTGGTTTGCTGCACCTGTCAACCCGTCCTCTAGGTTTTAAGCCCTATATGCATTAGGTATTTGTCCTAATGCTCTCCCTCCTGTTGCCCCCCAGCCCCCAACAGCCCCCAGTGTGTGATGTTCCCCTCCCTGTGTCCATGCGTTCTCACTGGTGAACAGTAAATTCTAATGTCTTTGAGTTAAATGTGTTTCTCTGTAAGTGTATATGTGTGTATTATATATTTTAAATATATGTATATATGTTTATATACGTGCCTATTAATATAACTGCTATACAATTTTTCTAAAAAAAGGCCATGTACATTGATACAAGTAAAAACAAAATGTAGGAAAACTTTAAACTTTTTAAAGATGTTCGATATTCAGAAAAGGGTAGCAGATAGACTACGATTTGAAAGTTCAAAAATGGTCCCCAAGGGATCCATGGCTATGGTAAAATAATCAGAGAAGAACAGGTAGGTGGTGTCTAGAGTAGAAGACACAGTCATGTCCAATTTTTCAAACTTTCTCACTTTAATATGTTTAAGTTGACATCAATAAGAAGAGAAAGGCTCCTCAAAGTTTTCCTGAGTTAAATGCATCTGCATTAGTGGTGTTGCAGTTGACGGACCAATAAAATGAAACTACAATCAGATGTCAATCTTGTCATAAACTCCACTTTGTCCTAAAACATTTTCAATGTGTCAGTCTGTCAAACCCATTTAAATTATGGCCACCTGCTGTTTCACACACAGGCTAACCATGGCTGAATCATCCATCTGTGGCCCAGTCTCACTACAGTGTGACGACAGCATGTGCCTTTCTGAATCTTTGTCAAGGGTATTGCCTCACTGGATTAAGTACCCACTATGTGCAGGCCACAGTGTTAAGACTGTGGGGGTAACTCAAGAATGAGAACATTTGTGTATGTATGTTTAATCACAATGAAACAGAAGAGACAGATCACACTAAAATGGAAAGACTATAGTAATTAGGAAAAAAAATAAAAAATAAAATGACCCAGTGTTTATTTTTAAGACTGTTGGTAGTCTGTGTATATGAGTGTATACGTTTCAAAAAGACACTGATACCATTCTAAGACACTTCTAGGATAGCCTTACACAAATATACTCAAAACATCTTTTTCTTCTTTTCTGTCTCAGAGCTATTGGAAAAAGCATCTCTGATTTATGAGGCCATTTCAGGTCATGTTCCTACAGAATACAAAGTCACGAGGTTTAACATTGTTAGACAGTCTCTGGAGCATGTTTCATGAGACACTGCCAAGCTGCTTGGCAGGTCAAAATATCAATCATCACTGCTATGACCATACTCACATAGGCCCCAACTGGAATTCTGAAACATTCCCAGCAATCCTTGAGCTGTCACTTGGTATGCATCCCTGCTTACACAAAGGAAATCCATCAGAGCTGAAACTTATTCATATTCACTTGGTGCATTGCAGTTCTCTAGCGAGGCAATAGCAGCAGGGAACTGCTTATAACGCTCTTTTCAAAGACTGGTTATATATGGCAATGAATATCTTTACAGAGCATAAGAAATAATAGCAATAACCTATCTAATTATAAGGAAGACATATGTATTGACTAGGAAAAGCAGTGGAAACAATGGCTGCATTGTTCTTTGTGGAACAACTGCTCAGAAATAGAGCAGTTACAGAACACAAGTCTCTCCTGGTGCGGTAGAACTATTAGGCAGCCTAAGGGAAGGAGTGCTCAGCTAGAATAAATGAATTTCTGATGCCAATGCAACAATCTTGGAATGGAAATACATACCTAGAGTTCGAAGCCTGGCAAACAACACGCCAGGATTAAGTGGAGTCGGATGCCACTTCTACGGTAGAAAACCAGGCAGAGAAGACCTGTAAATCTCAACTGGTTCTCTGACACAAAAAGTGTAGCTTGTTACCTTCTAAAATATGTGGCCAAGTTTTGAATAAAATTTACTTTTGCTGCAATGAAGACTGTGTGCAGTTTAGCTATGTACAGAATGCCTTCTGGAGACTACAGTTGGGATGGTTACGTAGCAAACATAGAGGGGGTGTGAAATTGTCTGCCATTTTCCAGTAAAAGACCAATCTCTTTTTGTTGCTGGTGTAGTCTCTTCATGTTCACTCCTTGAAATTTATTATTCACTCTGGAGTACTTGCCCCTTCTCTTATCCTACACATTGTCCTTGGTCAGTCTTTGCTGTGCTGGTGGCTCCATTTAGCACCTAGGCACTGATGACTTCTCAGCAGGATTTTAAACATCATTCTGCCATTTACTACCTTAGTGATTAAGAAAAAGTTATCTATAAAGTGTAAGTTACAGTATCTGCCTTACAAAGTTGATGTGAAAATAAGATAGTGTAGGTAAAGCACCTGCATATAGTTGAATCTAAGTATTAGCAAGTATTACAATTAATAAATACATCTCTTAGAGCCTTGGAAGCCATGATCAGACAGGATATTCAAGACAGCTTGGAATTATAATCACAATGGTTAACAGGTATTGAGCATTTAGCAGGAATCAGAAACCAAGCTAACTCTTCATATGTTAACTCGCACAATTCTTGGAGCAATCTTTTAAGCACAATTATCTCCATCTCAGAAAGCTGGGACAGAAAATGGCTACATAACTGGCCAATGTGCACACTGCTTGGAAATGGCAGACTGGGATATGTATCAGGCTGGTTCAGTCTGGCTCCTGAGTCAGCTTGTGCAGTGCTATGAATCTTTGATATGACATATTTATTCTAAACCTTGTTACTTCATTCCATACTCATGACTGGTTCTTTTAAAAACAGAGCTAGAAGGTATGTCCAAGTGAAGGCAAGTGAGAGACTGATTTTGGAAGGAGAATAGTTATCAGTCCAAAGCTTTCTTCTCACAATTCACAAAAAAACCATATTCATTATTAATATGTGAGGTGTGCTTGGGCCAGGTGCTATGTAAAGATTAGAGAGAAAACCAACTGTAGCTCAATTCCTTGTATTAACAAATCTATGTATACCATGCTCTTGATGGGTTTATAACATAGAAAAACACTTGAATGAGGCTTTTGTCACATGTCATAGTTGTTTAACAACTTAAAAGTATTTATATATTGGAAGAAGTATAAAGAAACAAATCGGGGCTGGGTACGGTGGCTCACGCCTGTAATCCCAGCAATTTGGGAGGCCAAGATGGGTGGATCACCTGAGGTCAGGAGTTCAAGACCAGCTTGGTCAACATGGTGAAACCCCGTCTCTACTAAATATACAAAAACTAGCCGGGTGTGGTAGCAGGTGCCTGTAATACCAGCTACTCGGGAGGCTGAGGCAGGAGAGTCACTCAAACCCGGGAGGTGGAGGTTGCAGAGAGCCAAGATCGAGCCACTGCACTCCAGCCTTGGCAGCAAGAGCGAAACTTCGTCTCAAAAAGAGAAGAAAAAAATCTTACCTATAAACTTTGTATTCTGCTTTTTGAAATTCTAGAGTTGTCATTAGGGTGGAAAAAACACAACACAAATGGTGCTAGCCCCCTCACCATATATATATATATTCAGTATGACTCCAAATACTAAATAACTATAAATGCCAACCAAAGCCAGTGTAATTACCTTAAATGTTCAAAAGTGTTTTCAGGGCATCAATCACCTGAAGGATAAAGTCCAGCCTCTTTGGTATGTTACTAGTATTTAAGGCCTTTTATAATCTGGCTCCAACCAACATTCTTGGCCCTACCCCGTTCCACTTTCCCCTTTCCTGTCAATGTCTAGTACTCATCCCCATAAACACCTGCTTCTCTGTGACAATGAGCCCTGCTATTCAAACTGACCCAATAGCCCCATTGACAGTTTTTTTGGATAAACATAGAAAATGACCCTTCTGGTCTTAAAGCTTGAAACTTCTATTTGTTTTATTTGAGTTCCTTCCTCAGGAAAGGACCCCCAGGCCTCTCAAAAAGGATCAAAGAACTGAAACCCACTGGTAACCACATCCAGAAAATGGGACTCCAGGCCTCTCATTCATCATGATTGCTTCCTTTCCCCTCCCTAGTTCCTGTTTTCCCATGTGTAGTTACATTTCTTCCCTGCTATATAAACCCATAATTTTATTTGGTCAGAGAGATGGATTTGAGACTGATCTCCCATCTCCTCACTGCAGCACCCAATTAAAGCCTTCTTTTTTTTTATTATTATGCTTTAAGTTTTAGGATACATGTGCACAACATGCAGGTTTGTTACATGTGTATGCATGTGCCATGTTGGTGTGCTGCACCCATCAACTTGTCATTTAGCATTAGGTATATCTCCTAATGCTATCCCTCCCCGCTCCCTCCACCCTACAACAGTCCCCAGTGTGTGATGTTCCCCTTTCTGTGTCCATGTGTTCTCATTGTTCAATTCCCACCTATGAGTGAGAACATTTCTTCTTGGCAATGATTGTTGTCTCCGTGATTGGCTTTCTGTGCGGCAAGCAGCAAGACCTAGACCAAACCCCTGGTGTTTCAGGAACACTTTCACAATCCTGTGGTTTTTGTCCATATTGTTTCTTTTGTGTAAAGCTATGCTGTTTAGTAAGGTAGTCACTGGCTAGTTAAATGTGATTTAAATGTTTAATTTTAAACTAATTAGTAAAATTAAACATGTAGTTCCTTGGTCACACTAGCCGCATTTCAAGTGCTCAGTAGCCTCATGTATTGGATAGTTCAGATGTGGAACATTTTCATCATTGCAAAATTCTATCAGACTGCCTTGCTTTAAAGTGCCTCGATTTCCTCCCAACCTTGAACTTCTTGGCCCTTCAGGTTCTTGTTTTCAGGTTTCTACCTAAAAGTTACCCCTTCTTGGAGCTTTCTTTGGTGCCTCCCTGTAACCTATCTTCCACTGTATTTTTGTCTTATATTTCTATTCCAGTACATACAATTCTGTTATTTCAGCTGTGCATGTGGCTATTTCCCCCACTTGAATGTCAAAACATGAGAAAAAGGACTTTATGTTCTCATCTTTTATCCTCATCACAGTTCCTGAATTATAGAAATGATTTTTGGATGAATGAATGGTTTGGGATTGCATACAAAGATCCCTGATTTTAATTTTTTCTTCTTTACTCCTCTAGGGGAGGAAAGAGAATGTTGTGTAACGTTTTCATGGTGTTCTATGGAGCAATGAGAATAAATAAGAGCCCATCTTTCTGACCTTTCAATGAATCTGGATTCATAAGGTGTGTTGGGCTCAGGGGACCTGAATTCATTGCTGTCTGTAACTCTTCCCTGATCTCTGACAGGTAAATGTGGAGGTGGAAATGATGATTATCACTAATTATACCTTCAACCCACATCCCTACACCAATGTGTCTTAACTGCCTTCTTATCCAAAACTCTGCAGCCCAACTTACATAGATTTGAAGGGGAAAAGCACCTACGAACATGATACCAATTAACCTCTGTGGTTGCCTCATTTCCTAGAAATTTTCTAAAAGAAAAGATTTAATTGTGTGGTTAATATCAAACAATTTTATAGCAGTCACAGTCTCTGACGCTATAAAATTATGTTTGTATGCTTTCAAAGAGCATAATTTTTGGCCATTTCTATTTCAGTAAAGTCATCAGCAAACAAGGTAGATTCATAGTACAACATTAAGTGTTAAAAAAGTTACGATAAAGAATAATTTTCTAACCCTGTCACAGTTCACACAAGAAGACTATGGAAAACTAAAAATAGGCTAATGGATGAGAGGCAGCCTGGTGCAGCAGAAACAAAGCCCAGGAATGAGAGACAGGAGGATCAGTGTTCAAACCTCAATTCAGACAATGCATACATCTTTCTGGGGTGATTTTTTTTTTGAAGGCGGTAGAATAGGACCTGGGATATGGTGATTCACATCAGAATTACTAAGGGGAATAAGTGATTTTGTTAATTTCCTAGGGCTGCTGTAACAAAGTACCATAGACTTGGTGGCTTAAAACAACAGAAATGTATTCTTCCATAGTTCTGGAGGCTAGAAGTCTAAAATTAAGGTGCCACCAGGGCTGAAACAGGAAATTTTCCCTGATCCCTTCGCAGTACTTGTGACAGGTGTGTCTTGCTTACTTAGCCCACAGCTCTTAACCCCTGCGGAGTGTGAGCCTGCAGGTGAGTGTGTGCAGCAGCTAGGATCAGAGCTTCCGGGTGCTGACAGGAACAGAACTCTGTGCAGCCCCACAGCAGCATCTGGTGGTGTACCCATGACCGCTGGAGCCCCAGAGGGTTACAGTGCTCTTTTAGTTTTGCCATCTGCAGATGGCTTAAGTGTTAAACAACTCAAGCATCCACAGCCATGCCTCCTGAGCTCTTGTCTGGCACCCAGAAAGAATCAGGTCACATGAACTAATTGGAGGGTGGTAAATATGGAGGATTTTGTTGCCAATGAAAGTGGCTTTCAGTGGGAAGGGGAGCTGGAAAGGGGATGGGGCAGGCAGGAAGGTGGTCTTCCCTTCCAGTCTGGCTGTCCCTGGTCAGGCTCTTCTCCAAAGTCCTGGTATGAAGCCATCCCTCTGAAGTCAAGCTGCTTTTCTCTGATGTCTGCCTGTTGCTTCTCTTCTCTTTCTCTGCTGCTCCTCCACCAGTGGAGCCTGGGGTTTTTATGGGTACAGGATGGGGGCAGTGTGGGCCAAGGTAATTTTGGAAAAGGCAACATTAGAGTGGGAAAATGGGGATGTAAAGTTTTCACTTTGGGCTGTGGTTCCAGACTTGAGTGTGAGGCCTTCCCAGGAACTGCCCTCTTCTACCCAGTATTTCCCTGCCTCATGTCCATATCAGGGCCACGCTCTATTCTAGCTTCTGATGATGATAGGCAATTCTTGGCATTCTTTGACTTGCAGCTGCATAAGTCCAATCTCTATCTCTATTAGCACATGGCCTTTTCTCCTGTGCATCTGTGATGTTCTCCTCTCTATGTGTTCTTGTCTTTGTGTCTCTTCTCTTCTTATAAGGACACTGGTCAAACTGGATTAAGGGTCTAATCTACTCCAATGTGATCTCTTCTTAATTTTCATCTGCAAAGACTGTCCAAGTTAGGTGACATTCATAGGTAGCACAGGTTAGGATTTCAACATAATTTTGGAGGGTACAATTCAACCCACAACAGTGATTATTATAAAATTCAGATTCCTAAGGGCCATCTCAGAGCTATTGAATAATCCATTGACATTTTGAATGCAGTCTTCCGTGTGATTTCATTGAAACATAAAGTTTGAGAATGCTGATCTAGGAAAACAATTAAGAGCTATTGAGACAGAGTCTTGCTCTATCACCAGGCTGGAGTGCAGTGGCACGATCTTGGCTCACTGCAACCTCTGCCTCCCGGGTTCAAGGGATTCTCCTGCCTCAGCCTCCCAAGTAGCTAGGACTACAGGCATGCATCACCATGCCCAGCTAATTTTTGTATATTTAGTAGAGACGGGGTTTCACCATGTTGGCCAGGATGGTCTCAATCTCTTGACCTTGTGATCCACCCAGCTCGGCCTCCCAAAGTGTTGGGATTACAGACGTGAGCCACTGCACCCATCTGAAATCCAGGCACTTTGTGAAAAAATAAATGCCTGTCCATATTGGAGGAAGTGATGAAGCAGACACTAGGTCTTCTCTTCTATGTCGAGTGGGAGACTTAGCCATTTCTATTATACTATTAATGGTAAGGGCAATTCTAAAATGCTGGAAATGCTTGACAACTCTTAGGTGACTTGAATGTTGTATGTTATCAAGTTTATTGGATATTATTTTCACTTATGGTTGTTTTATTGAGACCGGAAAGCCATGACCTTTGAAAGTAAACATTTTAGTGTGACTCAGCTGAGGAAGCACCCAGGAGTGAATGATTCCAGTCAGTAGAGATTGACACTCTGGAATCTTAATGAGCTCTTAGGTAAACACTAAAGTTGACAACTGCTTTGGACATTCAAAAATTATGCACTGACTAACCAATGTGAATTCCCTTATACAGGCCAATCAGGATTCAGCCAGGAAGTGCCTGACTCTGACCACTAGTTCTGATTTGGTTTCCTACTGTCTGCCCTCTACTCACAGTTCTCATAGGTCTTACAGCTGATCTGGCTTCTAAGTTACCACCACTCTACTTCCTGGCTATCTTCCCACTGGTCTCCTTCACCCATAAATGAAGTATAATGGGGGATATCTTTCAAGACTTATTTTCTTCAAGAAGTTCATTATCTTTATTTTCTAGTAACCATGTTGCACAGTTGCACCACGTCAAATTATAGGAGTTCTTGGTTTTGCTTTATAACAGCCAGATTACCTACATTTTGTATATCAGAGAAGTCTGGGTCCTTACTGGAATGTTAAGAAAGATGCCAAGGCAATGGCAGAGGTATTCTAAATCCAGAAGTTAGAGGGTGGGATGGGAGAAAGCCATAAAAAGAAAGGATAATTATTCAGATTTCAGGCCTTTCAAGCTTTCAAGGTTACTATATCTGGAGATGATATTACAATTCAGGAAATAGGGACAGCAAAGTCAAACATTTTTGTGTTTATCAGCATTTAATCCAATTCTATTAAATAGTATTGGGTGATTTTTCCCTTGACAAATTCTCAAATAATTTAAAAATTATGAAAGGATAAATATGTTTAAAAAATAAAAGCAAGAAGAATGTAATAAAAGAGCAAGAAAATGAGGCATTGACTATGTCCGGAGTCAGCCCCTCGCATCTATTCTGGCATGGCATAGCAAGCAGAACATAGGAATAGAGCCAGTCAGACTTGAGGCCAAGTTCTGGGCCTATCAATGTACAGTTCTGTGATTTGAAGCAAAGATCGTAACCCGTTGTTACTCTTATTTGTAATATGGAAGTTCTAATACCCTCTTCACGAAGCTGAGTTGAGCACGCCATTTGTAAAGTGCTTGGTGTTAGTATAGTGTCTGCAGGTTCCTCTCCCCTACAAACTCCAATGACTTTCACTAATCTTCCCATCTAATGATTAGTTCACTGGGGACTTGGGTACATCTCTTACTCTTCCTAAGCTTTTTGGGGATAATATATAAATGTCCTATTTTACACAGTAATTGTGATAGTTGGAAGAAATAATGTGTATGACGATAATGTTTGACATACAAATCTGTATTAATTAGCTTTTTTATATTAGCATTTTTGGTAGCTACAACCAAGATATCTCAAATGCAAGTGAACTAAACAACAGCTAAGTCAGCCTTCAATAGATATTTGTTAAATAGGTAGTTGTCTCAGGGTACCATCTCTGCCCATCAGCAATAGACGCTTTTTATGGATTTTCCTTACCTTCTCCAACTTACTAATTAATTCTACATTTATCTCAATTCTATGAACATTTAATGCATGTCTACAATGCTAGGTGATGGGATATAGAAATAAATAAATTTACCTGAGGGAGCTGGTTGTCCTGAAGAGAGATCATATATCACAGAACACTCTACCCATTATAACTAAAAATATATCATTCCCAAGAATGGAGGACTATCCCATTGCTAACCACTAAACTACTGGAAACATTTTTCTAAAGTATGTTAGATATATATTTCAAGGGTTTTGTACTATATAAATTGTAGCTGTCAGAAAACTATGAAGAGATCATAAAGTAAATGCACTGTGTTGCTTCCAAGGGCAAAATCCTATTGAAAATGGACTGTCCTTTGGGTTCTATCAACTGGAGCTACACAGTAAATGCAAACTGATCATCCATCATTGGTGTCTCCATTTACCAACAACATCACACTCTACTTAGCCACTTGTGATGGGAATCTTAATAGCATTTTTCTTACTCAAATGAATGTTCTATCTTACTGGGTTGGCTGAGTATTTTCTTGTCTATGACCCAGGGGGAATGACTGACTCAGAGCAATGTCAGCCTGGAAGCCAACAAGAGGAGTGCAAATCAGGTTGGCTTGGTTTGCTAAATCAGGTTTGCTCGGATTCTCACGTGATCTACACTTACAGAGCAAGAAGCAGTCAAATTATTAACTAGAAGCAGCCAAATTATTAATTAAATGTAGCTACTTAAGAACCTGGTGCAAAGGTAATTTTGTCCATTTCATTCTTCTTTTATGTATCTAACACAGTGCCATGTACAATTAGGTGCTTGGTAAAGGCCTTAGCTTTATTGGATGAATGAGGTTTGGCTTATGGCATTCCGTAAATAAAGATACGACTTAGATTACATAAATTGGTCAATACATACAACCTGATTATCTAGCCAGTGGATAATCCATGCTTAACTGGTTTACAATTGTTTCTTAACATTTTCTGTGTAATTATTTTATTTCTCCTTGCTCCTCTGCAGAAGGTGGGTTGAGAGCAAGCCTTCCTATGAGGCCACTCTTTAAAGGGCTTTGCTTCTGCCAAGGATAGGAACAAGACATTTTCCCTCAGAGTTTTATGCAGTTCTCACCTTTGGGTCAACACCACTGTTGATGCAGCTATTTTGGTCCAAAGATAAAACTTCTTTCCTTATTCTTTGGATTTCAAGATCATCCAGATCCCTAATCATCAATCATATCAGATTTACAGCCTGACATATTTTAGAAACATGTATTTTGTAATACATACTATCCTGAAATAAATTTTATCCATAATTAAATTGCTGTGAATGTAAAAGCTATAAATGTACTTTGATGCAAATTTGTTGCATTGGTGACTTAAATACCGTGAGTGGCATTGTTATCAGTGACAGGATTTTGTCAAATGATAAAAACTCTTGGTAAAGTTCCAAAGAAAACAAAGTATAGCATTTTTTTCAAGTTATATGGTAGTTGCATTCCTGGAAATTCAGTATATATTGAAACTATACAAAAATACTTTGAACTTATATGCAATACAGTTAGATTCCAAGCTTGGAAAATAATCTTTTTTTTTTTTTCACTTACATGTATAGGTCATGCAAAATTCTTTGGGAGATGGGAAAAGTCTTTTTGTATGGGACTGTTCTATGATTTGTGGATTGTCTAGAATCATTGGCCTCAGTCCACTAAATGCCTTGAGGACTTCTTAATAACTATGATGACCAGGACAGCTCTACAAATTCCAAAACTGATCCCTTGGAGATTACTGTTTAGAGCAGCCAAAAAATTAAATTAGTCAAAAAAGAATAAACGTGGGGGAATCCTAGGAAGCTGGCAGTAGGAGCAGCGTCATATTTGAGTCTCTCTAAATTCCCCCATAAATTAGGCAGAGCCATGAGGCTAGACTATGTAGGTTATGAACAATATCCAAAAAAGGGTAGGGAGGAGTAGGGAGAGCATTTGAGAAGGAGAATAAGATTGCTCATTGCCTTATGGTTATTAATGAAAAGTAAAAGGATATTGCCTCAAGTCAGATGCTCAGAAAGAAGGAGGGGGTGGAGAAGAAGGGGCTGCAACTTAATCTCAATATTATTTATTATGGGGAAATTATTAGACAATAACCAAAAAAGAGTTAAGGAAGACGAATAAAAATATTAGTATAAAAGTAACCACTGGGACAAAAATACAATGTCTCCTATATACCAAAAAATATACTTAAGAGAGAGAGAAATAGAACATATAATAAAAGTGTTGGCATAATTAAATGTATATTTTAAATAATATTTCAATTCATCCTTCATATCATTAGCAGGAAAAAAACTCCAAAAGAAGATAAAATTTAGGATAAAAAACAGAATCAATATAAGTGCTAGGAGCAAACATGAATGAATTCCTCTATAACCCGGAAACAGGGAAAACATTCCCATCATAATTCAAAATTCAGAAGCAGAGGAGAGAGATAATTTTGATTACAGTAAAAACTTTAGCATGACAAAGGAGACACTATAAACAAAGGAAGGCCAGGCATGGTGGCTCATGCCTGTAATCCCAGCACTTTGGGAGGCCGAGGCAGGGGTTTCACCTGAGGTCAGGAGTTTGAGACCAGCCTGGCCAACATGGTGAAAGCCTGTCTCTACTAAAAATACAAAAATTAGCCAGGTGTGGTGGCAGGTGCCTGTAATCCCAGCTACTTGGGAGGCTAAGGCGGGAGGAGAATCACTTGAACCTGGGAGGCGGAGGTTGCAGTGAGCAAAGATCGCACCACTGCACTCCAGCCTGGGTGACACAGTGATACTCACTCTCAAAAACAAATAAAGGAAAAAGACAAATTTTGGGAAATATCTGAAATTTATATGACAAAAGGCCAAAATCTTTAATATGAAATTTTTCTAAAAACAAAAAAATAGACTCGAGAAATGAACAGAAAGTTAAGAGAAAGAGATGCAAATTTCTCTTAATCAGATGAAAGATTATCAACTTCACCCATCACAATATATATACAATTTAAAACTGCACTGAGGTACTATTTATTACCTGTCAGATTTGGAATCTCTTAAACGTTAGACAACATAATCTTTTGGCAAGCTGTGAGGAAACATTTTCTCATATACTGTATTGGGAATGGAAGATGATACAAACCCTATATAGGGGAATTTGTCAATACCAAGCAAAAGAACAAATGCACTTGTCATTTTGCCCGGTGCTATGATCCAAATGTTTATGTTCCTCCCAAACTCATAGTTGAAATCCTAATCCACAAGGTGATGGTGTTAGGAGGTGGGGCCTTTGGGAAGTGATTAGGTCATGAGGGTGGAGCCTTCATGAATGGGATTAGTGCCCTTATAAAGGAGGCCTGGGGGTGCTGCTTTGCTCCTTCCACTATGTGAGGACACAGAAAAATGATGCTATCTGCGAGCCAGAAAGTGGGCCCTCACCAGACACTGAATCTACTGGTGCTTTGATCTTGGACTTCCCAGTCTCCAGAATTGTGAGAAATTCATTTATGTTTTTTTGTAAGCTTCTCAGTGTATGGTATTTGGTATAGCAGCCCTAATGATCGAAGATGCCCAACAACCAACCTTGTAGAATTTCATTCCAAAAGTATACTGGCAAAAATTCAGAAAGACGCATGACTAAATCCAGTCATCCCAGAATTATCTGTGCTAGCAGAAGACTGGAAACAGCACAAAAGTCCATCAAGGGCGGGGGTAGAGTGGGGTGGCTGGGCAAATAAACTATGGTGTTAATACATCCACCTAACTAAGTTCTGTGGAACACCATAGGGGAATTAGAAAAACTCATATGCTACTGTGAAGTATTCTCCAGAATATACCGTGTGTGTAGGGGGGTTGGGGGAAGAGGAACTATTTGTATAGAATACTTAATCTGATGAAAAAGGGAATGTGAGCATTTTTTTTTAAAGAGAAAAGGATAAATTACCAAAAGGTTACCTAGCAGGAAAAAAAAAATAGAGTGAAGGGGACAGGGATAAAAGCTAGACTTATTTAAATACTTTGTTTTATAGATGTGACTTTGGAACTATTCATCTATTTTGCATAATTACAAAACAAAAATTAATTTTTTAAAAAAGCAACCCCTAAAAAATGTGAAGTAAATATGCACTTGGTGGTATAACCACATAGAACAGAGCTCTTCTAAGTGACCTCAAAGCACGGTTATTTGACCATCATTTCTAGTGGAATACAACCTAAGAATGAAAATAACTAAAACAACAATTGAAGTATTTACGGTAATTGTATTTTAGGTGGTAATGTCAGTATTGGCGGTAGTGTCAGTGTGTTGTGGAATAAAACAAATGAGTACGTATGTACTATTCTTTTTTCATTCCCAGTGTTTTTAAAAATTGAGATTCTTAGGGGACAACGGGAGATACAGATTTAAGGTATGAGTAAAATGTCTGTGCTTCTCAATTTAAATTTGAAATATAAGGAAGAACTAATGATGTAATTTAACTTGCATATATCTATAATTTTTCTGTAGATCTGTTTACTGAAAAGGTCCAGAAAAAAATGACTATTTATTATTGATAAGATTCTTACCACCCAATTGTGTTATTAAAATACTATTTCTCACTATAAGAAACCAGGGCTTATTGGAGAATTGGCTGATTTCCGGTTTGGGGCAGAAAATATACAAGATGAACTTGACACATCTTGTGATTACCAGAAAGGCAATCGAAGACTTTACAGTCAGATCAAAAGGACTGAAGAGAAACTTCAACAGGCTCCCCATGGCTAAAAATGGGAAAATTTGAGCACAGATAAGGATAAAAATTACAGTTTTTTGAAACATATCAATTATGAGTAAATCCAGGAGTTCATAATGATGCATAAAAAACACTCTCATTGGTGACTGTTAGGGTATGTTAGTGAACCAAATTCTTATTTTAAAACCTGGCAAATTAAGAAAATGATGAAACATTTACCCTACCATTTCCCTTAGAACTATTCTACAACATTTCTAAAAAGTTGATTAAATAGCTGCTCTTTTTAGAAGTTTTCAGCTAATGAATAAAGGGTTTGGAAAATTACAGTATTACTATTTGCAATCTACTGAATTAATGAATCTAGACAGCCACTGATCATCAATAGTTGCTAACAACCTACTAGAGACAACCAAACATTATATGTATCCTGGTGGCAAAACAGCCTATGAAATAGTCTCGCCAAATAATCAAACCTGAAGTTGATCACATCTCTATGTCCAGCTACCAACTTAGAAAATATGAAGGAGTGACAAGCATGTTAAACAACAGGATGGGACTGCAATGAGCAAAATCCAAACTGCAGGAAATTCTTACAAGACAAATGAGTGGCTTCTTCAACAATAAAGTGCAAAAAATATAAAGGACTAGGAGGAGAATTCACAGGTTAAGAAAGACTAAAAAGGTGTCACCAATATCTATGGTCCTTATTTGGATATACATTTAAAAAAACAATGCCCATAATTAAAAATTTTTTTGAAAAATCGTATGGATTTTTAGGAGATGATTGGAAATTTGAAAACTGATGCTTTGGTGTTACCAGGGATTAGTGTTATATTTTAGATGTGTTAATGATATTGTGGTTATTTTAAAATACATTACGTTTTGGAATTTCATAATGAAATATTTGAAATGATATAATGTTTGGAATTTGAATGAAAATAATACAGATAGTGAATAAAGGTAGAGATAAACCCAGACTAGAGATGAACCCAGATTGTTGGGGCTGAATAATAGCTCCATAAATTTTATTATAATTGTTCTACCTACTTTTGTATGCATTAAAAATGTTCCACATTAGGTATATCTCCCAATGCTATCCCTCCCCGCTCCCCCTACCCCACAACAGTCCCCAGAGGGTGATGTTCCCCTTCCTGTGTCCATGTGATCTCATTGTTCAATTCCCACCTATGAGTGAGAATATGCGGTGTTTGGTTTTTTGTTCTTGCGATAGTTTACTGAGAATAAATATACCTAATGCTAGATGACAAGTTAGTGGGTGCAGTGCACCAGCATGGCACATGTATACATATGTAACTAACCTGCACAATGTGCACATGTACCCTAAAACTTAAAGTATAATAAAAGAAAAAAAAACTTAAAAAAAAATATATGAGAAAAAAAAAAGTTCCACAATGCCACGATATATAAATATTTCAAAATATATTTTTTGAAAAGCACAAATATTCAGAAACGTAGCACTCTAGCTAGATGGAATGGCAACATACACTCACCTCTGAGATTCCTGTTCTCTTATCTGGATCCTGTTCTCTATCTAATTCCTTACTAGATTTTTTCCCCCTTTCTGTCTTCAGTAATACTTTTTTGTTCTGTCTACCTCAGTTCTCCTCTCCTCTTCTTCCACTCTGTAGTCTCTTTTCCTTTTTCTACTGTATCTTCTTTTCCACTGATCCCTGAAACAATTGGCCATGACATTGAACTGAAAATTTGTTGTTCTTTTTCAATTGGGGAAACAATGAATTGAAGTTTTATGGTTTTTTTCAGCTTTATTGAGGCATACCTGACAAGTAAAAATTGTGTGCAATATTTAAGGTATGAAACATGATGTTTGATATACATATATGTTGTAAAATGATTACTGCAATCAGGCTAATTAACCTATCCATCACATCAAGTAGTTATGATCAAACTCTGTTGTGGAAGAATTGACAGTAAAACCTAAACACTTTTTCAGTTCCCTTTCCACCTGCAGTAGCTGAGATCAGAGACATCCACACATATGAACCTTCTTAAATTATGAAGGTTTCCTGATAAAGAGGCAAGACCAAGGGATATCATCCTTTAACCTACTCAAGAGTGATCTCACAACAGCCATCCTGGATATGCAGAGCTTTGCTTGAACTAAGAATCCACCAGGAACATTAAGTTTCACTGTGAGCTGGTATGGGGTGTGTTTTGGACACCTACTTGTCAGCAACCTGGTTGATCATTGCAGATAAAAAGCCAAACCATCAAGAAGAAGGTTCCTTCTTTTTCTTTTTCATGTCTGCTCATGTGAAGTCAGTTGAAAGATGACCTTGATCAAAGGCTGCTGGAAGAGGGCTACAGGACTTTTATTATTTATTATTTATAAAGCATCACAAGTGTTATGCAACAGTTTGCAAAACACCCAGAGAAAAGATCTATGCTGTGAGGAGGTGACAATGTAAATAAAATGTAAACATCACCATAGATAAGAGTAAAGCCCTTGAAGGTTAGAAATATGGGTTCTTGTTTAACTTGAGGGAGCCTGGGCAGAAGTAGATTCTAAGAGGAATGCACCTAGAAAAAAATCAATGGCAGAATACCAATAAACATGTGTTTTGAAAACAATATGTAGTTAAAAGTTCAGCTGACCTATAAAATCAATGCAAATGAAAACAGTAGTTCTCATTAAATTATCAAAGGTTTAAAAAATGATACTATATAATTCTTGTAACGGTTCTAAAATACTGCCACCATCATTCATTTCTGGAGATAATTGTAAATTGGTACAACACTTTAGGAAAGCAATTTAGTGCTATTTTTCTGTTAGGGCTCTTATGTATGACATCCTTTCACTGTATTTATAACTTTATCGTATTGCACAAAACAGTTCAGCACAAGTTAGCCTTTATGCACACACAGTAGTGAACATCCTGTATTCCTATTATCAAATGCATTATTTCTTTCTGTTATATCACACATTCATACCGTTTATCCTGGTTCCTGTGAGCTTTAACTCACTGGCCGTTTTTCATAGCAACCTTTATTTCCCGGTAATAGTAAGCAGCATAAAAAGATTTTTGCCCTTTAACTCTTTGTTTCAATTTCTAGAATAATTAACTGAAAAAATAAAGCCAAAATATTAAAAAATCCATGTACATGAAGATATTTGTAACATTGTTTATAGTATAAAAATAGAAATAACCTAACTTGTATAAAGTGGAGGCTTCAGTAGGTAATTATGATAAATCATTTAACATAGTATATGATCCTTAAATACTGGCTTTGAAGATTATATATTAATGTGAAAAAATACTTAGACTATAACATAATAGGTAAAAGCAAACAGTAAATATCTAGTGTTACTATAAGCAAATTGAAAAACTAGGCAAGAAGGAAAAAGGAGGCACCACATGCATAATGGTGGTCACAGTAGACAGGTGGATTATAGATGATTTATTTTTGTTTCTCTTTTATCTAACATTTAAAAATGCATGTATATGAACACACATTGATATGGTTTGGCTGTGTCCCCACCTAAATCTCACCCTGAATTGTAATAATCCCCCTATGTCATGGGAGGAATCTGGTGGGAGGTAATTGAATCATGGGGGGCAGCTCTTTTCTGTGCAGTTATCATGGTAGTGAATAAATTTTATGGGATCTGATGGTTTCATAAATGGGAGTTCCCCTGCACAAGCTTTCTCTTGCCTGCCACCGTGTAAGACAGTCCTTTGCTCTTCCTTCGTCTTCCACCATGATTGTGAGGCCTCTCCAGCCATGTGGAAATTTGAGTCCATTAAACCTCTTTTCTTTATTACCCAGTCTCGGGTATGTCTTTATTTGCAGCATGAGAATGAACTCATACACACACATCTTCACACACATATGTATATTCATAGAATAATGTCATTTTATTTAACATCATTTCATTATAACATCAATAAAAAAATCAATTCCCACTGGGGCCACTGTGTGGAGTTTGCATGTTCTCCCCATGTGAACATGGGTTTTCTTCTGGTACTCTGGTTTTCTCTCCCATCCCAAAAATGTGCACGTCAAATTAATTGGTGTGTCTACATGGTTCCAGTCTGGGGAGTGGGGGTGTGTGTGAGATGGGATGGTGTCCTGTTCAGGGCTGGTCCTACCTTATCCCCTGAACTACCAGGATAGGCTCTGGCTACTCACAGCCTTGAACTGGAACAATTGAGTAAATCCTTATCTTGTTTTTACTCATCTTTCTTAAATGTATATATAGCTCACATTTACTTCAATGTTTAATATTAGAAGTGTTTTGGTTTTTAAAAATTTGGTGATTTTATGATTAGTTTATATGCCATAGAAACTTAACTCTTGTTTACATCAATTAGCCTATGGTAAAATTTGGTTTAATTATATGTCGTTTTGCCTAAGTTGCAGTTCCCAAGAATCTATCAATGACATTAAGGGACAATTTACTGTATGTGTGTGTGTGTGTGTGTGTGTGTGTGTGTGTATGCTGATATACCATTTGAAATGAAGAAAATAAAGGGAAAATATGTGGCAGAATAGAAGTTACATGCCACATTCATGTAAAACTCTACCTATGGTGTACCCAATCTAAAAAGAAGCTAATAAATCTGTGAAGCTCATCAGAAGAGCTATTCCAGGGCTTACTGGAAAACTGTGCCTATAAGGACTGTGTGAGGACCTTAAGGAGAAGACTTCTCCAGGGAAGAAATTGGATTTTTTTTGATAATACATTTTCCTTAAAATTTGTATTAGAATTTAAAAAGATATCCATTCCTTAAGAGCCACATGATGATTTTTTATGTGATAATTGTATAATTGAAATTCCATAGTAGTAAATCGTCTCTGTAAAGAGTTTTTGTGTTTAATGACACAACTGATTACAAAAGTAGGGAGAAGGAAAGAATTAAATGACATTAGAAGAAAATAGTCAAGAAACAATCAAAATGAGACATGTATTAGTAGCACCAAACTTACTGTTATTAAGCACCCAGGGGTTTGAAAATAGGTAGTGCTGAGACACTGTGAAATGGCTGATCAATACTGATCAATAATGACTATTTTGGTGTAAATAGCTTTGTATATTTCTGTTGGGTGCTCTTTTGACATTTAATAGAAGCCAGGACTCATTTGAATTGATGTATCAAGGGCAGAATGTAGACTTTGGAGACAGAGACATCTCAGTTCAAATCTCCATATCACTATCACACATTGGCTTTGTGACCTTGGGTAGGTCACTGCATTTACAGGCACAGTAGCATGCAAGTAACCAGTCTTCAGTTGGCTACAGAAATCAGACACAACAGCTTATATGCCAGGTGCTTCTTAGTGCTGATGAATCCCTGCATCCAGATATGAGGATTTCCTGGCTTCTTGAAAGTGGCTCTTGAATCACCTGTTTGTGGGAGCAAATGTCGTAATATGTAATTGCCAGAAATTCTCCCTGGCCTCTGAACAAGAGCATCTCCATCACTCTGCTCTGGACTCCTGCATCCCTCCCTCCACTTCACCCCATTCTCAGCACGACCTGAGATTGCATCCTCCTTTAAACCTTCAATCAGGCTCATTTGCCTTCAGGCCTAAATCTACAGTGATTATTTGAAACACACTTGTTTCAATCTTGGTTTTCATTGAGGTTACATTTCCCAACTAGTCTATTTCCACCTATCCATTCCCACTTTTTCCTTAGCAGGCCCTTATTTTTCTCTCCCTTGTGCTGCCATGCTTCATTTGCAAGTTCCAGCCTTCCCATAAGCCCAGCCAGCCCTTTAGCTGCCACTTGACAACAATGTTTTACAGGAGCATAAATCTTTCTCTCTCTCTGGGGAGGGTGAGGCAATGATCAAGCCAAATGATCCCAGTAACTGATCATCATCAGTTGATAACTCATTTCCCTCTCCCCTTCTTCATCACCCACTGTCAACTCCTTATCAGCACAAGGCAGTATTCTAAAGTGGTTTAGAGATTGAGGTTCTGACACCTGACTGCCTGGGTTAATCAGGTTAACAAATATAAAGTGCTTAGTGCCTGAGACTTGGGCAATACCAAGCAAGCATGAGCTATTGTAATATCTCTACAACCTCTGCAGGGAAGTAGTGGTCAGCTATTTTGTATCCTCTTTATGGAGGTCACCAGTTGATATGGTTTGGCTGTGTCCCCACCCAAATCTCATCTTGAATTCTCATGTATGGTGGGAGGAACCCAGTGGGAGGTAATTGAATCATGGGCAAATCTTTCCTCTGCTGTTCTCCTGATAGTGAGTAAGTCTCAGAGATCTGATGGTTTTAAAAAGAGGAGTTCCCTTGCATGAATTCTCTCTCTTTCCCTTTTACCTTCCATGTAAGACGTGACTTGCTTTTTCTTGCCTTTTGCCATGATTGTGAGGCTTCCCCAGCCACGTAGAACTCTAAGTCCAATTAAATCTCTTTTGTAAATTGCCCAGTCTCGGGTATGTCTTTATCAGCAGTGTGAAAACGGAGTAATACAGCAGATTGCTACCAGGAGTGGGGTGATTCTGAAAAGTTACCTGAAAATGTGGAAGTGACTTTGGAACTGGGTAACAGGCAGAGGTTGGAAGAGTTTGGAGGGTTCAGAAGAAGACAGGAAAATGTGGGAAAGTTTGGAACTTCCTAGAGACTTGTTGAATGGCTTTGACAAAAATGCTGATAGTGATATGCACAATAAGGTCCAGGCTGAGGTGGTCTCAGATGAAGATGAGGAACTTGTTGGGAACTAGAGCAAAGGTGACTCTCTTTATGTTTTAACAAAAAGACTGGTGGCATTTTTCCCCTGCCCTAGAGATTTGTGAAACTTTGAACTTGAGAGAGATGATTTAGGTTTTCTGGTGGACGAAATTTCTAAGCAGCAAAGCATTCAAGAGGTGACTTGGGTGCTGTTAAAAGCATTCAGTTTTACAAGGGAAGCAGAACATAAAAGTTTGGAAAGTTTGCAACCTGACAATGTGATAGAAAAGACAATCCCGTTTTCTGAGGAGAAATCCAAGCTGGCTGCAGACATTTGCATAAGTAATGAGGAGCCGAATGTTAATCCCCAAGACAATGAGGAAAATGTCTCCAGGTCATGTCAGAGGTCTTCATGGCAGCCCCTCCCATCAGAGGCCTGGAGGCCTAGGAGGAAAAAGTGGTTTTGTGGGCCAGGCCCAGGGTCCCTGTGTTGTGTGCAGCCTAGGGACTTGGTGCCCTATGTCCCAGCCACTCAAGCCAGGGCTGAAAGAGGCCAAAATAGAGCTTGGGCTGTGGCTTCAGATGGTGCAAGCCTCAAGCCTTAGCAGCTTCCACTTGGTGTTGGGCCTGTGAGTGTACAGAATTCAAGAATTGAGGTTTGGGAACCTTCGACTAGATTTCAGAAGTTTATGGGAACACCTTCATGTCCAGGTAGAAGTTTGCTGCAGGGGTGGGGCTCTCATGGAGAACCTCTGCTAGGGCAGTGCAGAAAGGAAATGTGGGGTTGCAGCCTCCAGATAGAGTCCCTACTGAAGCACCACCTAGTGGAGCTGTGAGAAGAGGGCCACCGTCCTCCAGATCCCAGAATGGTAGATAGATCCACTGACAGCTTGCACTGTGCACATGGAAAAGCTGCAGACACTCAATGCCAGCCCATGAGAGCAGCTGGGAGGGAGGCTATACCCTGCAAAGCCACAGGGGCAGAGCTGCCCAAGACCATGGGAACCCACCTCTTGCATTAGCATGACCTGGAAGTGAGATGTGGAAGTCAAAGGAGACAACTTTGGAGCTTTAAGATTTGACTGCCCTGCTGGATTTCAGACTTGCATGGGGCTTGCAGCCCCCTTTTGTTGGGCTAATTTCTCCCGTTTTGAATGGCTATATTTATCCAATGCCTGTACCCCCAATGTATCTAGGAAGTAACTAACCTGCTTTTGATTTTACAGTCTCATAGGTGGAAGGAACTTGTCTTGTCTCAGATGAGACTTTGGACTGCAGACTTTTGAGTTAGTTCTGAAATGCTTTAAGACCTTGGGGGACTGTTGGGAAGGTATGATTGGTTTTGAAATGTGAGGATATGAGATTTGGGAGGGCCCAAGTGTGGAATGATATGGTTTGACTGTGTCCCCACCCAAATCTCATCTTGAATTCCCATGTATTGTGGGAGGGACTCGGTGGGAGGTAATTGAATCACGGGGGAAAGTCTTTCCCATGTTTTTCTCGTGATAGCAAATAAGTCTCTTGAGACCTGATGATTTTAAAAAGAGGAGTTCCCCTGAACAAGTTCTCTCTCTCTCTTTGCCTGCTGCCATCCATGTAAGATGTGACTTGTTCATCTTTGCCTTCTGCCATGATTGTGAGGCTTCCCCAGCCACATGGAACTGTAAGTCCAATTAAATCTCTTTCTTTTGTAAATTGCCCAGTCTCAGGTATGTCTTTATCAGCAGTGTGAAAGTGGACTAATACACCAGTGCAGCTTCTAGGACCTTCAAGTGCCCTTTTTCCTCTTCACTTTTTCAAATTTCCCAGGTGACCCAGCTGGAGGCTATTTACCATTGTAGAATCCTGAAGCTCTCTGAGAGCATGAAGAAAGTTATCGACCTCAATTCTGCATATAACTCCTGGAATTCATAAACTCCTAAATACCATTTCTGGACCTCAAGTCAAGAGCCCCATGTCTGGGGATGAATTTGTCAAGTAGAGTTTGGTTTCTTTGCGGGGGAAGGGATATTGCACATTACCATCATTTCTTGGTATATGTATATTTTTGTATAATGTAAGGAGTTTCCTTAACAGATGTGTATTGGGTGATACAATCAGATAATTTAAATCTACTAATATATAACCTCAATTCGATTAAGTTTTAGAGGTAGTATGCACAGAAATAAGTGTATGGGCTCTCTAATGGGGCTACCTGGATTCCAGCCCCAGTTCCATCACTTATTGTGTTACCTAACAAATTGCCTAACTTGTCTGTTCTGTTTTTCATCTATAGAATAAAGATAAAAATAATTCTAACCATATGATGTTATTTAAATGGTTAATGATTAAGTATGACAATATATATGAAGTTCTTAGCACAGTACCTAGAATATAGTATGTTTTCAATAAATGTGAGCTACCACTAAATGGCAAATTTATCCTTTTATTCTCATTTAAAATTATTTTCACAATGATATGGTTAGGCTTTGTGCATCCACCCAAATCTCATCTTGAATTGCAATCCCAATAATCCCTATAATCCCCATATGTCAAGGGAGAGACAAGGTGGAGGAAATTTCCCCCACGTTATTCTCATGATAGTGAGAGAAGTATCACAAGATTTGATGGTTTTATAAGGGGCTCTTTCCCTTTCACTTGGCACTTCTCCTTCCTGCTGCCTTGTGAAGAAGGAGCCTTGCTTCCCCTTTGCCTTCTGCCGTGATTGTAAGTTTTCTGAGGTCTCCCCAGCCATGCTGAACTGTGAGTCAGGTGAAGACTGTTTCTCTATAAATTACCCAGCCTTGGGCAGTTCTTTTTTTATTATTATTATACTTTAAGTTCTAAGGGTACATGTGCACAATGTGCAGGTGTGTTATATAGGTATACATGTGCCATGTTGGTTTGCTGCACCCATCAACTTGTCATTTACATTAGGTATTTCTCCTAACGTTATCCCTCCCCCTGTCCCCTACTCCCCAACAGGCCCTGGTGTGTGATGTTCCCTGCCCTATGTCCAAGTGTTCTCATTGTTCAATTCCCACCTGTGAGTGAGAACATGTGGTGTTTGGTTTTCTGTCCTTGTGATAGTTTCTGAGAATGATGGTTTTCAGCTTCATTCATGTCCCTGCAAAGGACATGGACTCATCCTTTTTTATGGCTGCATAGTATTCCATGGTGTATATGTGCCACATTTTCTTAATCCAGTCTATCACTGATGGACATTTGGGTTGGTTCCAAGTCTTTGATATTGTGAATAGTGCCACAATAAACATATGTGTGCATGTGTCTTTATAGTAATACGATTTATAATCCTTTGGGTATATACCCAGTAATGGGATCGCTGGGTCAAATGGTATTTCTAGTTCTGGATCCTTGAGGAATCACCACACTGTCTTCCACAATGGTTGAACTAATTTGCACTCCCACTAACAGTATAAAAGTGCTTGTATTTCTCCACATCCTCTCCAGCATCTGTTGTTTCCTGACTTTTTAATGATCGCCATTCTTACTGGCATGAGATGGTATCTCACTGTGGTTTTGATTTGCATTTCTCTGATGACCAGTGATGATGAGTATTTTTTCATGTGTCTGTTGGCTGCATAAATGTCTTCTTTTGAGAAGTGTCTGTTCATATCTTTTGCTTGGGCAGTTCTAAAACGGACTAATACACACAATTAGACAATGCTGCAGATCTCATCAAGTTGTGACAATGAATAATGCTTTCCTGAAGCTTTTTAGACTGACAGGCACGAATCTAAAAATCTTCTATCCTCTCTAACTGCAAAGAAGAAATCTATGGGTGTGGATAAATATAGAATCTCCTATTTTTAGGGAAGCTGACATTGGGGACATTTTCTTTGAAGCCTTAAATATTTTAATACCTAGATGCTTATAAGTAAGCTGCCACCATTCTGTGTTTGTTTAATGGCATGCATAGGTTCCAATTTTCTATTAACAAGTCATGTTGTGGGAAAGCTGTATCTGAACAGCAAGAAGAATCACAGTGCTCTGCATGACATTCATTGACTGCTACCCAGCTCTGGCCCATGGTGACAGCCAAATTTTATAATAAAATCTGGCCACTTATTGCCAGCCAGAAAGAAAATGCCATGTTTCATAGTTTATTTCTTCCTCCTGAATTTACACTAATAACTTCCTTTAAACCAAATACATGACCTACAATGTACCAGAGGCCCAGGACCTTTGATCCCCTTGCCTGCAGACAATGTTAAGCTCAGTTCCTAGGTGGAAGGTATGTTCATGTTCTGAGTGAATCCATATTTCATACAGTTTTCCTGTAATCTGTAAATGAATTAATCTGTATACATCAAAGACCTTATTATGAATTGCACTGTTTTCTAGCTCTAGATTCCTTAAGATTTGAATAAACAAAATCTTATTTGGATTCATTTTATTTGTAAGACCCTGAAAGAGCCAAGATAAATCTCCCCATAATTAGGAAGAAAATCTTTATTTGCGGATAAATTATTTTACATCTAAATTAGCGTGTATATCCAGAAATCTTGTCTCTGGTGTGATAAGCCGTAAATAATGACCAATTTCATGTTGGTGAAATTAAAAATCATGAAAAGCTATTCAAAGCAATTTACAACTTGACAGAGAAAAGAGATTCTGTTTAACATGCAGTAAATTTCTCCTCCACTGAATTCAGACTAAAGCTGAGAAACGGTGAGAAGAGAGAGAAAACAAAGTAAAATTTGGTCCCTTCTTCCCTGAAACTTTAATATTCGGCTTGAGTATATGCTCTTTTCCCAAGTGAGAAAACAGTTCTGACACCCTTTCAAGTGTTTTCCTTTCCTTTGAAGTATTTGATGTTTTCAGGAGCACTGGGAGGTCGTTTTCTTTGGATTTCTGTTTTCTAATTTTCCTCATTTTTGTTTGTGCTGTGACATGGGTGCAGAACTACTATATCTCCGGAGAAAGCACCTTGAGGCTCATTGTAGGTTCTGGTTACATAGTAAATGTTCCTTTCTGCAGCCTGCACACTGTTATCTCACCTCAAATGCTAAGCTTTTATTGTGAGCCATCTATTCACAGGGGTATGAGAGCAGCCTGGACTGCACCCCACAATGAGCAATACAGATCGTATATCTGCCCCAAAGGAGACATTTATTTATCTGTGGCCTCTTCTGCTCACACCTGATTACAAGCCAAACTCCTGGACACTGCAGAGGCCCTCACCAGAAAGGCAAGCCACTGCTTAGCCCAGTAATCAGTCTTTTACTCCCATCTGCTCTTGCTACTGGCATTTCTTCCATTCTTAATTACCACACTTGTCACCCAGATGCCGGTAGGATGAATGGCACAACCCATATCATGCGGCAGAACCACTCTCTCAGCAAATATCCTGTGCTGGTATCAGAAGTACCAAGAATATGAAGGGGGAACATCAGCTGAGAGCTGGGGAGGGAAATCATCTTGAGCTGAGCGAGGTGGGCCCTGCCAGCCTCTTCCTTGGGTCATTGCATCTTCCTGGAGAACTCGATCGATGAGCCTTTACATTTATGCTGCAAGTTTCGGTCTCCTCACCTGCCAGGTTAAGCATGAAGGTGTCCCATATGACTCACCTGGGGGTACTGCTTTCTAGTGTTGCAGTGAATTGATCTGCTGCTGCTTTTATTTGGTTAAGGTGGGTCAAAATGACACCACAGCCAAAGTTTGTCAAAGAAAAATACAATATCTAAGTGTTAGGTGTCCACAGACTCTTTCCCTCTTTGTTATTTGTCTATTTGTTGAGCTTTGCTGCCCTTTTATCTCTTCTGAACCCATGATTTGAACCCTTTCTACTTATTTAATTATTGTTCCTTATATATGTTTTAAAAGGACAAATCCGCAAATACACACAGCAGAAGAATAGCTGGGATTACTGATCTGACATATCATTTTTGTATATAAGAAGAAGAATGTGTTGCTTTATTATTATTCCTCCCTCCCCCTTCCACTAACCTCCCTGTTTAAAAAATAACCTTGCTGTTTGTATTTGTTTCCTACTCCATTCCCATTTTCTGTGACTGCAGGTCTGTGTCTTATTTTGTCTTACTGGGTGGAATTTATGTGACCCCATCATTTTGCTTCCTTTACTATTTTTCTTAACTGTACTCGGGAAATGAGCTAATATGTAGCTACAGGCATATCATTATAAGAATAGTTAAGACAGATTAATGATGTTTAGCTCTGTTTATGTGGCTGAAAGTTATATTTGATGATATGCTCTGATAAAAATAATTTTGTAATTAAAGCATAAAATATTGAATTAGCTATTTCATGATATTCATTTACCATGAATCTTGAAAGTGCTAAGTTCATTCTGTAGTTTTACATATGCTTAATTGCTTTTAGTAAGAAGAAAATCTTAAATTATTTAAAATATAGTAATATATCATTACAGCTCCATGATGCTTCAATATCCCTTGATGTACATATTTTTATTCTCGATATCATGACACTATTTTAATTTTTTAAAAAAGATAATACATTTAATTCACAACATAATTTTTAGAGATGAGGGAACTCACTTCTCTTAAACACTAATTGTTTCTAGGTATTTTATATACAGTCTATAATTTAATCCCATAGCAGCCCTGAAAAATTAATTTCCATTTTTTGGTTATCCTCATTTTCCAGGTAATAAAATTTCAGGCTTAGCGAGGTAAAGTAATTTTCACAGCTAGATGAGTGTAGGGCTGGGATCAAAATTCAGATCCATTTAGTTCCCACACAGTGCCTCAAAACTCATGTAGTTTTTTTAGGGAAACTGTAAACAAAGTCATTGGGATTAACTTGTAAATATTGCATTTCATGACTTGTCTTGTTGAAATGAGGGGTCTGTGTGTCTAGCTTTATTAAAAAGTCAGGTTGTTAAGCCACTTAACTCATATGGCAGAGTAGAGAGATTAATTCAATGTGTTCAACGGGAGAACCTGCAGTTAGTGGCACAGGCAGCTCAGACACTGAGCAGAGAAGAGTAATTCAGAGATTTGTGGTTTCAGGGAGGTCAGAGAACAAACAGACTGATTTAGAGAAAAGGCAGAACAAGTAGATTGAAGGCCCCCTGTCATCATTTGGTGATTTAGAGGAAATAACAAGGTATTTTCTCCTGGTATTTGAAAATTAGGACTTGTTCTATTATATTTCATTGAGAGCAAGCTTAGAGAGAAGCAAAACAGAATAATTAAAAATGACTGAAAAAGATTAAAGGAAGCAAAGAAAAATAGGAAAGAAAATACAGTTACCTCAAAATATTATCAGCAGTTATGTCTGGGAGTAAGGGTATGCATTAGAATTTTTTTCCTCTTTATATCTTTTACCTTACAGAATCTATTTATTATATACTATAAATACAGTATATATTTATAGTGGTAATATAGAATGGTGGTTTATAGAATGTAAGTTAATATAGAATGATGGTTAAGTACTTTGAAAACAAAACATAAATTTTAAACCCAGTTTTACAACTTATTTAGTTTTGCTGCCTTTGGCAAGTTATATATCCTCTTTGGCCATCATTATATTTATTTATTAAATTACTCAATACATGGTAACTGTTGCTATAATTGATATAATAATAATAATTCCTAGTACCTAAAAAATTGCTATTCTTAATAGAATTAGTTTTCTGCTTTTTATGCAAATGAACTACTTTATTTCTTTTGAGTAGTTAAAAATAAAAGTATATTTCCTAAATACATTTTTCTCCTAAAGATGCCCATGCCCTCAACTACAATGTCCACCTCTGTCCCCAACCCACAGTGCCACAAAACAACTGGTGGCAGTATCTAGTCAGAAGGAGAAGTCTAAAGGAGAAATTGTGCAAGCTCAGCCAGACTACGTCAAACCTTCCTCAGTGACTGTAATGCTGGGGAGCCTGCAGGGGCTCAATAACTGTGCTATAAACTCACCCATGACTGCCTCAAAAGTTCCAGTGTGTCTTCCCTTTCTGAAACCCAGTAAGCCTTCAGTACATATTTAAACATATCACTCTTTGTATATGTGTTAACCAAGCATATTCCAAGACTCTCCGTGGACCACATCTGGCACAGCATTGCAGTAGAAGGACAGTCCTGCAACAAAATGTTAACTAACGTAATTCCAAGTTTTACTTACATCTCTCAAAGAACATCACTGCTGTCAGTCTGCAATACTGACACAGCACTCAAAAAACCAATGTTTTGTTTCTCAAAAAGAATTTCCCAAGATTTAATTTTTCTTTGAATCATCTCCTTTGCCCTATTTGTCTTGTTCTCCTCCTCTGGCAACCCAAGGCTTCCTCTAAGGTTCTCCGCCACCCACTAATTTTATACTCTGTCAAAACTGCCTCTCACATCATACAGTGTAAGTTCCTCTTTGTTTTCTCCCACTCCAAATAGCTTATTCTGTTTTTTCCTCTGGGGTAAGTCATGCCTTTTTGATTGAAAATATTTTAGTTCTCCCTGCTCCCATCCCTCAATAATACACCAATCTGCTGATTATGGCTGATGGGTCTGAAGAGTGGATATAGAATAAAATAGTTTTTATTCCAGTTACACGTGGCAATTGTGCCACATTTAAAATAAGCACCTGGGTGATCTCTCTAATTTCAAAGGTATGTTGTCATCCTAAACTATTAGATATTCAGCAAATATCTTAATCTCATTATACTGCTATAGTGATAAAAATAATAGGTACAATTAACTAAGTGCCTACTATGTCCTGGGAACTGTACTGAGTATTTAGGGCATTCTATTTTATTTAATCTTAATAACAGCCTTCTGAAAGATTAAGTAACTTTTCTGAACTGGTGTAGTAAGTGGACTAGAATTAGGATTTCATATGAATTTCAAGTCTACATAACTCCAAAGCCTATGAGCTTAATGACAATACTATTTCTAATTTATTAGAAGAGTAGATCTGCTGGTTAAATAAAAGAATCAGCCATGGTCCAAACCTGGGTTGGTATCTGAGGTTATTATCAGCTGGACGACTCTGTTCTACTCTCCTTTATAGGACAGCATTAATATGATAATTTTTTCAAGTATAAACAAGTGCAAGAACAGAAGCAGATTGTGTTACATCTGTTATATATCTGATTTCTTCTGTAAGGGTTTATGACTCTGATAAACTTCTGAACAGAGCAGCGTTAAGGACAAAACTCCTTTACCTGATGTTGAGATCTTCAGGTTTTCTATGTATGAGTTTTTTTTTAATAAATAAAGCCTCCCTAGTCATAGATCCTAGAGCATTTGAGCTTTTGGGTTTAGATACAATTATGTTTGAGCTTCCACTGCATAAGTTGGCTCTTGCTTTTGACATACTTTGAACATTTCTTTATGGAATGACCATATTACACAGCTCTGTAAAATTCAATCATTCTGGGTCCAAATAAATGTGTGGAGAGAACCAATTAGACATTTGCAGACATAACCAGATTCGTTACTTCAAATTATTGCATCAGATATATCAGTATCTTTTTGTTCATCCTTGCATACAACCTCTTTCTGCAAGGTGTCACTAAATCTTAATTTTGCTATGGATTCCTGACTGGTGTGTGTGTGTGTGTGTGAGAGAGAGAGAGAGAGAGTGTGTGTAGGCATATGAAGTACTTAGTATGCATATCTATAACCTTTCTATTTACGTAAAATTCATCAGCCTAGAAATCTTAAAGGACACATTTTTTTTACTCTAGTTTTTAAATTTTTCTCTCTAGTCTTGGTTGGAAGCATTGTAAAATGGCTTCTTACTGAATTCAGACCTACTCCTGAAGCCAATCATAGCACAGTGTAGAAAATGCATGAGGTATAAATTACTGAAATAAAGTGATTAAAATGCTTTCAGGTTCCAAAGAAAAGATGGCTTCTCTAGCAGGATATGTGTCAGAGGACATTACTTGATTACTAAGACAATCCTTTCATCCCTGGTGAGTAAATATAGAGCCCATGAGAGGTTCTGCATTGACCCATGGATTTCACTCAGATGGTTCCAGCAACTCTGGGGAAATGATACAAGATTAACCTGGGTATTTTAGAAAGAGTCCTAGAAGATTTTAGCATGCTGCCATCTACGTTAGTGTGTTACAGTGGTGTCATTGAGCTAAATCCAAGTTGACATACTGAACAGTGACAATTTACCATGACTGTGAAAGGCTTTTGCAGGCTCTGCCTTTCCCTGAACTAATACCAGACCAGGTTAGTTGTGTTCTCTTTTCCTTTAGCTTTAAACTCCATAAGATCTCTTCATATGTTGTTGTTGTTGTCATATTTTCTTGCCTTCTGGTTACGCTACTCAGAGCTTTTGACTGTGACCTTTTCAGATTCTTGTGTATCTTTTGGCCACAAACTGGAGCCACAGGTATTACTTGAATTTGTTTAATGTAGGCATTAACCTCAGATTGTTTCAAAAGAACTACGAGTCCTCCAAAATGCATTTCTGCCTATAAGCTTTTCATGTCCTATCAGCTCATTCTGTTGCTGTCTAGTGATCAGGCCTGGGGAAGTGAGGATAAATATGCAGCATTAATAGGAGGGGCCAGAGCTAGTGACAGAAATGCAAAGCCGCACTCTGTGATTGATTTTCTCCCCAACCCTAGGTTTGGACAGCTGGACAAAAATATTAAATCTGAATTGCACCGTATATTTGAATTGCACTGTATATTTAGAAAAAAAATGGAGTATTTTTAAAGAGTAAAATGGAGATTGAAGTAAGTACTTTAAGAGTGAGGACTAATTCTGAATATTAAACCAGAAAGGCTCAAGTTCTAGCCTCTTATCATTTAAGGGTTTGATGGAAACCTAATACTAGCCTTTTGAGTGGTTTCAAGTGTTTCAGGTTGTGTGTGTGTGTGTGTGTGTGTGTGCGTGCGTGTGTGTGTGTGTGTGTAACAAGGACACTGACAGATGGAAGAGTGAGCATGAGAGCAGAGTGACACAGAGAGCAATTCACATGTGAGATATTTGATGTAACTTGGGAAGATGAGAAAATTCAGGCATGCACAGCAAAGCGAAGGAAGTCTACCTGAATTGCCCATTTTTAACACATCCGTTTAAAATATGCTAATGTATTTCTTGTAATTGTTTTTACAGTAAAATTGAGAAGAATTATTTTCACAGAAGAAAAGCTGTTACTCAAAATTTCATGATTCAATGCAATTATTCTCATGTGGATTTCATTCACACACATATAGTTCACATAATCATCATGGGAACAATTTGTGTTCTCTGCTCAACAAGCATTATACCAAATGTGTTCTTTCAGTATAGTTTCCAAAGTCATTTTCATTTTAATGGCTATAGATTAAGTAGTTGTTTTCTATTTTTATAGTTTTGGTTTGTCACTATTATAACTAAAGCTTTAGTGAACATATTCTTGCACACAACTTTTATTCTTTTTAATTACTTAAGATAAATCGCCAGAAGCTAATGTTTGGGTTACAAATACGATTTTTTTTTAATCGATCTTGAAATTACTTGCCAAATTACTTCCCAAAAGAAGAAAAAGTAGTGACAATATACAAGTATATATATTACAACTTTTGCTATAATCTTATCGTTAGATTTCATAATTTAAAGATATTTTTCAAACCCCAAAGATTACATCACAATTTAACTTTTTAAAAATTATTGGTGAGGCGGATTCATTATACATGTATTCATTTTTCTGTTCTTTTTAAATTTTTTTTTAATTCCTGGGGATCATTTTGTTTTTATTTTGTTAAATTTACTACTTCTGGTTTTGTGTTATCAGCCTAAAGTTTTTAAAATCCTCATCTAACTTTTTGTCAAGTATTGCATTCTACAATTTGATAACATGATTATTTATGTCCTCATGTAAACTCCTGAGTAAAAAAAAAAACCCACTGTCTGCAAAACTCAAATTTAGTTCTGCTCTATTTATTATTAATTATCATTTCCTTCTACTAATTTGGGATTTGGTTTGTTTTGTAGTTCCTGGAGATGCATAATTAGGTTATTTATTTGAAATCTTCTACTTTTTTGATGTAGACATTTATTGCTATAAACTCCCCTCTTAGCACTTCTTTTGCTATATTCCATGGGTTTTGGCGTGCTGTGTTTCGATTTTTATTTGTTTCAATAATTTATTTAATTCATTTCTTTATTTATTTATTGACCCAATCGTTATTCAGGAGCCTGTTGTTTAATTTCCATATATTTGTATAGCATCCAAGTTACTCTTTTTATTGATTTATAGTTTTATTACATAGTGGTCTGAGGAGATACTTAATATGATTTCAATTTTCAACATTTTGTTGAGATTTGTTTTGTGGCCTAATATGTGGTCTATCCTGGAGGATATTCTGAGCATTAATGAAAGGACTATTTTGCAACTATTGGATGAAATATTCTGTAAATGTCTGTTAGGTCTCTTTGTTCTATGGTGCATATTAAGTCTGATGTTTGATGTTGACTTTCTGCCTAGATGATCTGTCCAAGGCTGAACGTGGGGTGAAGTCCCCAACTATTATTGTATTGGGTTCTATTTGTTTAGCACTGTTAATATTTGCTTTATATATCTGGGTAATCTGGCGTTGGGTGCATATAGTTACAATTATTATATCTTCTTGCTGATTGACTCCTTTATCGTTATATAAGGACCTTCTTTTTCTTTTTATGATTTTTGACATAAAATAGGTTTCATCTGATATAAGCATCACTACTCCTGCATGTTTTTGGTTTCTATTTGCATGGAATTTTTTGCATCTCTTCACTTTCAGTCTGTGTCATTACAGGTAAAGCAAGTTTCTCATAGGCAGCATATAGTTGTATCTTGGTTTTTGGTCCATTCAGCTAGTCTATATCTTTTATTTTTTATAATTTCAACTTTTATTTTAGACACGGGGGGTACATGTGCAGGTTTTTTACATGGGTATATTGAATAATGCTGAGGTTTAGGGGATGAATGATGCTAGTGAGTGAGCACAGTACCCGATAGTTTTACAATATTTGCTCCCATCTATCCCTCCCCACTATAGAAGCCCTCTGTGTCTGTTGTTGCCATCTTTATGTTCATGAGTACCCATTGTTTAGTTCCCACTTATAAGTGAGAATATATAGTATTTGTTTTTCTGTTTCTGTATTAATTTGCTTAGGATAATAGCCTCCAGCTGCATTCATACTACTGCAAAGGACATAATTTCACTTTTTTTAAGGCTGCATAGTATTCCATGGTGTATATACACCACATTTTCTTTATCCAATCCACTATTTATGGACACCTGGGTTGATTCCATGTCTTTGCTATTGTGAATACTGTTGCAATGAACATACACATGCATGTGTCTTTATGGTAGAATGATTTATGTTCCTTTGAGTGTATATCCAGTGACAGGATGGCTGGGTCAAATGGTAGTTCCACTTTAAGTTCTTTGAGAAATCTCCAGACTGTTTTCCACAATGGCTGAACTAATTTGCCTTCCCACCAATAGCATATAAATGTTCCTTTTTCTCTGCAGCCTTGCCAGGACTTGTTTTTTGTCCTTTTAATAATTGCCATTCTGACTGGTGGTAAGATGGCATATCGTTGTGGTTTTCATTGGCATTTCTCTGATGATTAGTGATAATGAACATTTTTCCATATGCTTGTTTCCATATGCTGCTTGTATGTCTTGTTTTCAGAAGTGTCTGTTCATATCATTTGCCCATTTTTTTTTAAAGGGGTTGTTTGCTTTTCGCATGTTGATTTGTTTAAGCTCCTTATAGATTCTGGGTGTTAGATATTTTTCAGGTGCATAGTTTGTGAATATTTTCTCTCATTCTGTGGGATGTCTGTTTACACTGTTGATAGTTTCCTTTTCTGTGCAGAAGCTCTTCAGTTTAATTAGGCCCCATTTGTGAATTTTTGATGTTTTTTTATTGCTTTTGAGGACTTAGTCATAAATTCTTTCCCAAGGCCAATGACTGCAATAGTGTTTTGTAGGTTTTCTTCTAGGATTCTTAAAATTTGAGGTCTTACATTTAAATCTTTAATCCATCTGGAATTCATTTTTGTATATAGTGAAAGATAGGGATCCACTTTCATTCTTCTGCATATGGTTAGACAGCTATCCCAGCACTATTTATTGAATAAGGGGTTTTTATTTATTGAATAAGGAGATTTTCATAATTTTGTTGAAGATCAGATGGCTATATGTTTGTGGCTTTATTTCTGGGTTCTCTATTTTGTTCCATTAGTCTATGTGTTTGTTTTTGTAACAGTATTATCATATTTTATTTACTGCAGCCTTGTAGTATATAGTCAGGTAATTTGGTTTCTCTAGCTTTTTCTTTTTACTTAGGATTACTTTGGATATTTGAATTCTTTTTTGGTTCCATATGAATTTTAGAATACTTTTTTTCTAAATATGTGAAAAATGATGTTAGTAGTTTGATAGGAATAGAGTTGAATCTGTAGATTGGTTCTTCCAATATTGACATTGGAACCAAGAAACTGATTCTTCCAATTCATGAACGCGGAATGCTTTCCCATTAGTTTGTATCATTGTAGAATTTTTTCACAGTGTTTTGTAATTCTTTTAGAGATCTTTCACCTCCTCGGTTAGCTGTATTCCTAGGTATTGTGTGTGTGTGTGTGTGTGTGTGTGTGTGTGTGTGTGTGTGTTAAATGGGATTGCATTCTTGATTTGCCTCTCAGCTTGAACATTTTTGGTATATAGAAATGCTACTGATTTTTGTACATTATTTTGTATCCTGAAACTTTACCGAAGTTGTTTATCAGTTCCAGGAGCCTTTTGGTAGAGTCTTTGTGGTTTTCCAGTTATAGAATCACATCTTCAGTAAAGAGAGATAGTTTGACTTCTTTTTTTTTTTCCCTGTTTGGATACCTTTTATTTCTTCCTCTTATCTGATGCTCTGGCTAGGACTTCTAGTATTATGTTGAACAGGTGTGGTGAGGGTAAGCATCCTTGTCTTGTTCTGGTTCTCAAGGGGAATTGTTACAGCTGTTGCCCATTCATTCAATATGATGTTGGATGTGGGTTTGATGGCTCTTATTATTTTGAGCTGTGTTCCTTTGATGCCTAGTCTGTTGTGGGCTTTTCACACGAGGCGATGTTAGATTTTATGGGAGGCTTTTTTTGCATCTATTGAGATTATCATATGGCTTTTCTTAATTCTCTTTATGTGGTGAATCACACTTATTGATTTGAGTGTATTGCACCAACCTTACATCTCAGGAATTAAGCCTACTTGATCACAGTGAATTAACTTTCTGATGTGCTGCTGGATTTGGTTCACTAGTATTTTCTCAATGATTTCTGTGTCTATGTTCTTCAGGGATATTGGTTTGTAGCTTCCCTTTTTCACTGTGTCTTTGCCAGGTTTTGATATCAGGGTCATGCTGGTTTCATAGAATGAGTTAGGGAGGAGTCTCTCTTTGATTTTTTTTTAGAATAGTTATAATAGGATTGGTACTAGCTCTTTGTATATCTGGTGGAATTTGGCTGTGAATCCATCTGGTCTGGGCTCATATTGTCTGGCAGGTTTTTAATTACTAATTCAATTTCAGAACCTGATATTTGTTTGTTCAGGGTTTCAATTCCTTCCACATTCAATCTTGGGAGTTATGTGTTTCCAGGAATTTATCCATTTTCTCTAGATTTCTAGTTTGTGTGCCTAGATGTCTTCATAATGTATGAGGTTTTTTTTTGTATTTCTGGTTGTGTTTCTTTGGATCTTTCTCTCTCTCTCTTTTATTAGTCTAGTTAAGAGTCTATTAATCTTGTTTATTCTTTACAAGAATAAACTTTTTGTTTCATTGATTCTTTGTATAGATTTTTTTGGTCTTAGTTTCTTTCAGTTCTACTCTGATTTTGACTATTTTCTTCTGCTAGCTATGGGGTTAGTTTTTTCTTGTTTTTCTAGTTACTCTAGGTATGATGTTAGGTTTTTAAAAATCTTTCTAACTTTTTGAGATAGGCATTTAGCACTATAAACTTTCCTTTTAACACTTTTACTGCATCCCAGAGATTTTGATATGTTGTATCTCCATTTTTATTTATTTCAAATAATTTTTAAATTTCTACTTTAATATTTTTATCCCAAAATCATTTGGGGGCACATTTTTAAATTTCCATGGAATATTGTGTTTTTTAAGGGATCTGCTGGGTATTTATTTTTATTTTTATTGTACTGTTTTCTGAGACTATGATTGGCATGATTTCATTTTTTTTAAATTTATTGAGACTTGGTTTATTAAGTATGTGGAAAATCTTAGAGTATGTTCTGTGTGCAAATTAGAAGAATGTGTATTTTGTGGTTATTGGGTGGAGTATTCTGTAGACTTCTATTAAGTCTAATTGGTCAAGTTTTGAGTTTAAGTCCAGGATTTCTTTGTTAGTTTTCTGCCTCAATGATCTGTCTAATACCGTTAGTTAAGTGTTGTAGTTCCCCTACTATTATTGTGTGGCTGTCTCAATCTTTCATAGGTTTAGAAGTACTTGTTTTATGAATTTGGGTGCTCCAATGTTGGGTTTGTACGTATTTAGGATAGTTAAGTCTTTTTGTAAAATTGAACCATTTATCATTATGTAATGCTCTTGTCTTTTTTTTTTTTTTTTTTGCTGTTGTTGGTTTAATGTCTGTTTTATCTGATATAAGACTAGTGACCTCCGCTCCTTTTTCTTCCATTTTTTGATAGATATTTCTTTAACCCTTTACTTTGAGCCTATGTGTGTCCTTACATGTGAGATATGTCTCTTGAAAAGAGCAAATGGATGGGTCTTTTTTCCTTTTAAATCCAGTTTGGCACTCTGTGCCATTTTAATGGGGTGTTTAAATCATTTACATTCAAGGTTAATATGGATATGTGAGGTTTTGATCCTATCATGAAGTTGTTTGCTGGTTGCTTTGTAGTTTCTACTGTGTACTTGCTTAATGGGGTGTCAACTATGTTGGTGGCTTAAGTGTGTTTTTGTGGTAGCAGGTATCATTCTTTCATTTGCATGTTTAGAACTTCCTTAAGGATCTCTTATGAGGCTGGTCTAATGGTGACAAATTCACTTAGTGCTTGCTTGTCTGGAACAGATTTTATGTCTCTTTCTCTTAGAAAGCTTAGTTTGGTGGGATATGAAATTCTTGACTAGAAATTTCTTTGGTTAAAGAATGCTGAATATAGACCCCTAATCTCTCCTGGCTTGTAAGGTTTTGGCTGAGAAGTCTGCTGTTAGCCTAATGGGGTTTCCTTGGTATCTTATCTGACCTTTTTCTCTAGCTACTATTAAGACATTTTTCTTTAACATTGACCTAGGACAGTCTGGTCACTATTTGTCTTAGTGATGTTTGTTTTGTACAGTATCTTGCAGGTGTTCTCAGGATTTCTTGTATCTGGATATCTCCTTCACTAGGAAGATTAAGGAAATTTTCTTAAATTATTCCCTCAAATATATTTTTCAGGTTGTTTACTTTTTCTTGGGTTAGTTCAAAAGACTAGTCTTCAAGCTCTGGAATTCTTTCTTCTTCTTAGTCCAGTCTATTGATAAAGCTTTCAATTGTATTTTGAAAAATTTAGTGAGTTTTTTAACACTAGAAGCTCCGATTGATTTCATTTTAATATATTTACCTCTTCTTTCATTTTTTGGATTGATTTGGAAATTTCTTTGTGTTGATTTTCATCCTTGTCTTGGATCTCATTGAACTTCCTTGAAATCTGTGCTTTGAATTATTTGTGTCAATTCTGAATTTCCATTTTGGTTAGAGCCCATCAATGGAGAGCTAGTGTTATCCTTTGGTGATGCCAATAAGTTCATATTTTTCGTGATGCCAGAATTCTTGTGCTAGTTCCTTCTCATCGGGAGATGCTGGCACTTCTAATTTTTGTAATTATTTTCATGAGGGTAGCATTTTTTCTTCTTATTTCTTTCTCTATAATATTATTTTTTCTTCTTTCCCTCCTCCTACCCCCAAGGGGGTTTAGAGTGTAGAGAATCCTGGGTAGGGTCATTTGGCTGTGCTTCTATAGCCCTCTGGACTTTTAGCAAGTTTTATATTGGACTGTGTAGTATAACCTATGAGCCAGTAGATGGCGCTTAAGGGTAAGAGCCAGCTGCAGCCAGCTAGGCTAGGTATATGCTTCATCCTTGCTTACTGGGAGAAGCTCTCTGTTGCTTCAGGCAATGGACTAATCCATGAAATGCAGAGTGGTCTCAGCTCCCTGCTCAGCCCCGGGAGTGCTGGGAGCATGATTGGCTGGGCCAGACCAAGCAGGCCCACCTGCAAGTCCCCCAGTGGCAGGCACAAGCACCAGCACTGGGAGAATCCAGTGGCTTGCCACAAAACATCCAAAGATGTGCCTAAGCATGGAGCTGGGAAACTTCCTCAACCTAAAGTTCATTGCAAGGGTGGGGGTGCAGGAGATTGGTGGCCTAAACTCCTAATCCAGGAGAGTAGGTTCTCCAGGTGCCTAGAGATCTGTCTGGTCATGGAGTGTACCACAGTCTCTGCAGAGAAAAGGTGGAGTGTCTCAGGCTGGAAGTCCTGGTCTTCCTGGAGATATGCCTGGGTGTGGGGTGGAGAGGGCCCTGCTTCACCCAGTCTCTGCGCGGGAAGGGTGTGCTACCTCAGGTTGCCAATTCAGGTGAGTGGGTGCTAAGAATTCCTGGAGATCTGCCTGAGTGTAGAGCAGAGAGGGCCCCACTTCACCATAATCTCTGCACAGGAAGGGGAGTGTGGCTTAAGCTACTGATCCTTTTGAATGGGTGCTCTGACTGCCTGGAGATCTGCCTGGGCATGGGAGTGGAGAAAGCCCCACTGTATCACAATCTGTGCACAGGAAGGGTGGGGCAGCCAAAGCTGCCAACCTAGTCAGTGGGTGATCCAAATGCTTGGAGTTCAGCCTGAAAATGGAACAGAGAGATCTCCACTGCACCAGAACCTCTGCCCAGGAAGGGTGGGGTGCCTCAGGTTGATATTCCATGAGAGCGGCTGCTCTAAATGACTTGATATCTGCCTGAGTATGAAACAGAGAGGGCCTCACTGCACCATGATTTACGTCCAGGAAGGGTGGGGTGATTCAGAGGGCTAGTCCAGGCAAGCATGTGCTCTGAATGCCTGGAGTTCTGCCTGAGGGTGGAGCGGAGAGGGCCCCACTGTACCACAATCTCAGGGGAACAGGCTGGGAATGACACAGCAATGACACATGCAGCCCAGTTTCAGGTTGCCAAGCTAGCCCTAGCTACAAGTCTCATTTTCCAGAGAAACTGCAGCTGTAGTAGCTCTCCTCTCATCCCCAGTCTATGATGGGGGAGAGCAGAATTCCAGCACCTACTGCTGAGGCACTTCCCACAGTTCTGGCTATGGAGGCCCCTACTGCATGCCAAAACAAGTGCTCCAATCTCTGGCCCAAGACTAAAATGCCTGCATGGCCAGGCTGCCAGGTCACCAAAGAATGTCTGACTTTGTACGTGCCTGGATTAAAAATGGCACCCTGTTCTTGGTCTGGGGTCTGAAAAAATGCCTACAGCTTTTCTCAGTGTCTTTTCCCCTCAGTACTTCCAGCTGTCTCCTTAAGTTAGCTCTGGGGCTTGAGGGAAACAAAGTGCGCTCTTGCAGTCCAAGTTGCTCAGATTCCCAGTGGAAAGATGAGTCACAGAGGCAGGCTCTCTGCCTCTCTCATGTACTGGGGCCTCACTCACTTTTATGAGCTGGACACCATCACAGGGGCTGTGTGCCCGCATTCTACTCTCCAGGATCTGAGATGTCCTTCGTGATTTTGGTGGATTCCCATTTTTCTCCTTGAATTGAGCTCAGAATTTCCAAGTGCCTGAATCACACTGAAATCTTCTAATATTCCATCTTAGAAAAACAATAAAAACAAAACCAAAAACAACACAAAACTTTATCTTTTAGGGGAATTTAAACCATTTACATTCAGTGTTGTTATTGACAGGTGAGAACTTACACCTGTCAGTTTATTTCCTGATTGTCTTGTATATCCTTTGTTCTTTTCTTCTTCATTTATTATTTACCTTTACACATTGATAGTTTTTTGTAGTGACAATGTTTGATTCATTTCATTTTCTCATTTGTATATCTGCTCTATGAGTGAGTTTTATACTTTCATGTGTTTTAATGATGATATTATCTTTTTGTTTCCAGATGTAGGACTATCTTAAGCATTTCTTGTAAGGCCATCTAGTGACAATGAATTCTCAGTTTTCTTGTGTATGTGAGACTATTTCTCCTTCATTTTCGAAGGATAGCTTTGCTAGCTATAGTATTTTTAACTGGAAGCTTTTTCTCTTTCTTTTCTTTTTTCTTTTCTTTCTTTGTTCACTTTGAATATATCACCCCATTCTCTCTTGTCCTATAAGGTTTCTGCTGAGAGATCCACTATTAGTCCATTGGAGATTCCCTTATATTTCACTTGATGTTTTTCCTTTTCTGTTTTTAGAATTCTCTTTGTCTTTGACTTCTGACCAGTTTGACTTTAATGTGCTTTGGAGAAGACCATTTATTGTTTGAATATCTGGGAATCTAGATGTCTATATCTTTTGCAAAATGTGGAAAGTTTTCACCTATTATTTTGTCAAATAAGTTTTTTATAACTTTGTTCATCTCGTTTCTTTATAGAACTCAAAAAATTTGAATATTTGGTCCCTTAGTGGTGTCCCATATATTGTGTAGGCTTTCTTTATAACTTTTTCTTTGTCTGACTAGGTTACCAAAAAACCTGTCTTCAAGTCCAGAAATTCTTTATTCTGCTTATCTAGTCTATTGTTAAAGCTCTGAATTGTATTTTTTATTTTATTCAAAGCATTCTTCAGTTCCAGCATTTCTGTATTTTTATTATAATACCTATCCCTGTTGAATTTCTCATTCAGAAAATTATTTTTTCCTTATTTCTTTGTATTATTTATCTTGTATCTCACTGAGTGAGTTTCTTTAGTATTATTTTGAATTGTTTTTCAGGTACGGTTTAATAGATTTTTATTCTTTGAGATTTGTTACTAGGGATTTATTGTGTTCCTTTGAAGGTTTAATAATTCCTTGCTCTTTGTATCCTTATGTTAATACCTGTGTGTCTGTTGTAATGATTGTTTCTTTCAGTTTTATGATTTGGCTTTTGTAGGGAAAGACATAGCTATAGTGTTGAGTAGGGTCTTTGGCTTTGATTCCAGGTGGGCACAGTAGTAAAATCTTATGTAATTTCTTTAGCTGTAGTCAGCATGAGCGGTGTCTGTGAGTTCCACAGTGGCTTAGGCTGTGGTTGTTAGTGGAAGCTGTGGTGAGGCCTTGCTAGAGATGGGGACACCAGGCAGATAGGTCCTTGGCACCATTGATGGCAGTGATGGGCTGAGCATGCTGGTCTTCAATCCCCTGAGTGGCATACATGGGTGCTAACTATGGAAAATCTGTGTGGGCCAGTCCTTGGGCTTCCAGGTCACGTGCTCAGGTGCTGTTGGTGGCAGCAGAAGGCCATCCTTGAACCTCTGAGTGGTGTGCATGGTATCAGCAGTGGAAGTAGTGGCAGCAGGTCATCTTTTGGGCCCTTGAGCATTGCCTGCAAGTTCCAGTGGTGGTCATGGTGGACTAGGTAGGCTGCTTCCCCAGCTTCTAGGTGGTGGAAGTAGTGGCAGTAGCAGGCTGAGTGGGCTGGTCCCATGGCCTGCCACCACCCTGGGAGAAAGACTTGCATGCTGGCAGAAGGCGAGATAGGCTCATCTTTATGCCCATGGGTGGCACACATGTGCACCAGTGGATGATGAGGATGGTCAATTCCCAGGCCCCCAGGTGACACATATGGGCACCAGTGGTGACTGAAGGGGTAAACCTTTCTTCAGGCTCCCAGATGGTACACATGGGCACCAGCAGTGGTGGGTGGGGTGGATCAATCCCTAGGCCCTTGGACAATGTGTGTGAGCACTGGTGGCAGTGGCAGCAGGAAGGCAGGCCCATCCTCACATCCTCTAATGGTGTACATGAGCACCCACTATAGAAAATTAGGCAGTTCAATCCCCAGATCCCTGGATAGCATGCTTAGGTGCTGGAGGTGATGGTGGTGGGCAGGGCATGCTTGTCCTTATGCCCCTGGATGGTGCACATGGGGACCAATGGCAGTGGGAGGGGCAAGCCTGTACTCATGCCCCAGGACAACACACAGGTAGGCCAGTCCCCAGGCTTTCTGAAAGTGTATGCAGCTGCATGTCAGCCCTGTTGCTGGGGTGGGGGTGAGGGGTTGCAGCCATGGCGGTGGCTCCAGGCAGGTAACTACCAGGCTCTGGGGGCCATGTACTTTGGCTCCCTTTGTCCTAGGAGAAGGCTCCCTGGTGTGCCATCCCACCTGATCCCTGGGGTATAGGACACAGCATAGGCTAGAGTGCTGGGGACCCAGAGACACCACTGGGAACAGCTGGCACTGCAATCTTGCAATCCTCTGGCTGGACATAGGGGAATGTCAGTAGGGCTCCAGGGATATGAAGCTACAGGGGCTTTTGAGACCCAGAGTATGATGTAGTCTGGTCCGAGCTGGAGTTTCAAGATGGTGTTATGTTGCAGCTGCTTGGGTCTCAGGGGGTGCCTGGGACCCGGCGCAACTTCCCTGTCTGGAACAATGCTTTTTTGTGGACTCCAGGTAGCTCTCTATACTTATCTTAGGGCCCCACAAAAGTTAAGGGGTTCCCCTGTGGCTAGGATTGCAGGAATCCATGGTGGGAGTTTGGGCTGTTGTATATCTCTCACTTACCTTTTCCCCACAACAGGGTGTGGCTCTTGGCACTGAGCTGATCCCTGCCAGCTGCTTGGTTTTCCTTTCCTTCTGTGCTTCAGAGGGTCCCTGTTACTTCCCTTCCCTGCTGAATTCCAGTGTTCTCTGTTAGATGCTCTGTTCGACATGTGGTTTTCTACTCACTGTTTTCATCCTTTGTTGTGAAGGGGGCAAGTACTGGATCCCTTTAGTCAACCATCTGGAAGCCTCCTTCCCAACTCTATCGCTTATCTTCTACCTTTGATGCTTTTAGTTTTTACAGTATGCATTTTTCTACTAAATTTTTGCCCTTTTAAAATTTTTTTTAGTTCTAAATATTCTAAGAAAACTTGCCTAAATGTGGGTCTAGATCTACTGCCTGGCCCAGGAAATATACTTTATACATATTTACATATAGATAATTTCTCAAAGCTAAAGGACTTGAGTCTCCAGACTGAAAAAGCCTATCAAGTGCCCAATAAAATGAATTCATTCTGGAGACTTTTATCTTTTATCTGGGAAATCATCTGTACTTTAAAAAAAGACTTTGCATTTTCTTCTCTTTATCAGGAACTCCTGGATTTGGTCTCCTGGATTGATCTCCTATGAATGCTTTTCTCATATTCTGTCTTTGACTTTTTGTTCTACCTTCTGGAAGATCTTCTTGGTTTTAATCTTTAAACCTGTAGAAGATGCTAGCCTGTAACTTAGGACCCCTACCAGACTGAGGCATTCATTTGCTAGGGGAAGTTGATGCTGAAGGCTCACAACTGAGCCCCACCCCAGGAATTGCCCATATTGACTTTCCCAAAGTTATGCCCCATCTTGGGGGCAGCCTGCGTCTATTGACAGGTCAGTGTGTGGTTCTACATACCGAGGATATTGCCTCAGCTGGAACAATTCTAAAGGTCATGCCAACTATAAAATTATCTGAAGCCTCCAACCAGTTGTATTGGGCAGTTCTTTCTCTCTGCCTGGTCCCACTTTCTTCACCTCTCAAAGGTTGTCTTCCCAAAAGTATTCCCCAGGAAGCATGCTGCTTGAGAATTTCAGGGTCTCAGGGTCCATCTCATTGGGAAGCTAACCTATGACAAAACCCTTTTAAAAAATCTTCCAATTTCTTAGTTTTCTTTTTCTAGGTATTAAATGTCCTGTATTGATTTCCTATGACTCTCACATTTGTTTTTCCTATATTGTTTGTCTTTTTGTTCCAAGTTTTGGGTGATTTCCACAATTTTGGACTTCTAGTTCTTGATTTTGGGGGGGGGTCATTTATTTCCAAGAGCTCTTATTCATTCTGATTATTCTTTTTAAAAATAGTATTTTGCCCTTGTTTTATAGTTACACAGTTTTGTTTTGTTTTTTGTTGCTTTAGTTCTCTTATATTATCTTTATGATGCCATTTTAACTCCAATGCCTCTCATGTTGGAGACACTCGTCAAATGTTTGGTGACCCTTAGTTTTGGAAGGAAATACACACAATTGTGGGCTTCATTTCTTGGTATGTTTTATTTGTAAAGAGAGGCGGAGATGACTTTTATTATTGTGCACTCTCAAATGTTAGGAGTTTATTTTCCTCTGAGGCCATTTAATCTTCAGAAGAACCCTCTGTCTTCAGCCTAATGAAGATGATGTGTGGTCAAGTCTTCAGCAGAGGGGAACAAGCAGAAGAGGGGAGTATGTGTGGGTCTGTTTCACCTATTGAATTTTAACCTTGCATTACATTCTTTTCTACTATTATTGTATTCTTTTTGTCTGGTCACTGTAAGGTCTCCTCATGGTTTTATTTTTTAATACAAACTTTAAGATAAAATTCACATATCATAAAATCACTTGTAAAGTGAACAGTGAAGTGTCCTTAGTAAACGCAAAGTTATACAACCATCACCATCATCACCACTATCTAATTTTAAAGGATTTTCACCTCCCCCTCCCCACAAATTACCCATGTGTACATTACTCGTGTGTACATTAACAGTCCTTCCATATTCCTTCATCTCTCCAGAACCTGACAATTACTTATCTACCTTCTGTCTCTATGTCTATTCTGGACATTTCTTAAAATGGAATTATACAATATGATGTCTGTCTTCTTTCACATGGCGTAGTGTTTTCAAAGATCATACACATAATAGCATGCATCAATACTTCATTTCTTTTTTCCATTATATAGAAAGAGATGAAGAATGCTATATTTGCTTTATCCATTCATCAGTTGATATGCTTTTTGGTTATTTACACTTATGAACTATTGTGATTAACGATTCTATGAACATTGTATACAAGTTTTTGCATGACATATGTTTTCATGGGCATATACCTAGGAATAGAATTGCTAGGCCACATAATAACTCCATGATTAATATTTTGAGAAAATGCTGCACATTTTTCCAAAGTGGCTACACCATTGTACATTTGCACTTGCTATATATGAAGGTTCCGATTTCTCCACATTCCAACCAACACTTGTTATTTTCAGTCATTTTAATTGTATCAATCTTAGTGGGTGTGACATGGTATCTCATCATGACTCTGATTTGAATTTCCCTAATGATTAATGATGTTGAGCATCTTTTCATATGCTTATTGACTATTTATATATCTTATTTCAAGAAATGCCTATTCCAAACTAGCCCATTTTTAATTGGGTTATTTTCTTATTATTAAGTTGTAAGAGTGCTTTATATATTCTAAATATAAGTCTATTAACCGACATATAATTTGCAAAATTTTCTCCCATTCTGTGGGTTGCCTTTTCACTTTATTAATGGTGCCATTTGAAGGATAAACTATTTTAATTTTGTGGATGTCTGGCTTCCTTATTTTTCTTTTGTTGGTGTGCTCCTGGTCTCAAATCTAAGAAATCATTTCCTAATACAAGATTATAAAGATTCTTGCCTATGATTTTTTTCTAAGAGTTTTATCGTTTCAGCTCCTACATTTAGGTATTTGATTCATTTAAGTTTTTATATATAGTAGGAGGTAGGGTTTCAACTTCATATTTTTACACGTGGATATACAGTTGTCCCAGCACTACTTATTGAAAAGACCATTCTTTTCTCATTAAATTGTCTTAGCATTGTTGTTGGAAAATCAATGGACCATAGATATATGGGTTTATTTCCAAATTCTCAATTCTATTCTCTTGATAAATATGTCTGTCTCTATATTATCACTATGCAGTCTTCATTACTGTAGATTTGTAGTGAGTTTTGAAATAGGATGTGGGAGTCCTCTAACTTTGTTCTTCTTTTTCGAGATTGTTGTGGCTATTCCAGGCCCCTTGCATTGCCACATGAATATTAGGATCAATTTTTCAATTTCTGCAAAAATGGCAGCTTGGATTTTGATAGGTCAAATAAGGCTTGCATTGAATTTGTAGATTAATTTGGAGAGTATTATCATTTAAACAATAGTAAGGCTTCCAATCCATAAACAGAGGATGGCTGTCTATTTATTTGGTCTTCTCTAATTTTTTAAATGATATTTTATAGTTTTCAATGTAAAAATCTTATGCTTCTTTTATAAATTTATTTCTAAATATTTTATTATTTTTATGCTATTTCCACGACACTACTGTATTAACTTCATTTTCAGGTTGTTCATTGATAGTTGTAGAAACACAACTGATTTGTGCACATTGATCTCATATCCTGAAAATTTGCTGAAATTTGTGATTTGTGTATTGGCTCTAACAGTTTTTTTTTTTTTTTGTAAATTCCTTAGGATTTTCTAGATACAAGATTATGTCATCTGCAAATAGAAGTGGTTGTGCTTCTTCTTTCTAATCTGAATACCTTTTATTTCTTTTTATTGACTAGTTGCCTTGACTGGGACCTTCAATACAATGTTGAAAGAAGTGGCAGAGTGGATATCCTTGTCTTGTTCCTGATCTTAGGAGGAAGGCTTTCCATTTTTCACTATTAAGTATGATGTTAGCTGTGTGTTTTTCATAGCTTCCGTTTATCAGGTAGAGAAAGTTTCCTTTTGTTTCTAATTTGATTCGTGATTTTATTATTGCATCTCATTCTTGCCTTCTCTAATAACAGGTGATGCAAAATTCTATTAATCTCTAGGGTTCTGTTAGACAAATAGAGTGCCTCTTAATTATATTCTCTTCTTCATGCACTTTAGGCTATGGAATTCCCTGCCTTGCTACTGCTGTCACCTTTAATACCATTTAATGTTGATATGAAAATGTGGCACTTCAAAGAATATCACAATTATTTATCAGTAAACACACATATCACATACTAACAATAGGCACTTTTGGGGGGTTTCCTTTGGTGTTAATCAGTTTGTGTGTTTTTATTTTTCCTTTTTGAACTTTTACATTCAGGGGTACATGTGCAGTTTTGTTAAATAGGTAAACTGGTCTTATGGGGGTTTGTTGTTCAGATTATTTCGTCACACAGGTATTAAGCCTACTACCCATTAGTTATTTTTCCGGATCCTCTCCCTCCTCCCACCCTCTACCCTATGATAGGCCCCAGTGTGTGTTGTTCCTCTTTATGTGTCCATGTGTCCTCATCATTTAGCTCCTGCTTCTAAGTGAGAGTATTTGGTTTTCTGATCCTACATTAGTTTGCTAAGGATAATGGTCTCCAGCTCCATCCATGTCCCTGTAAAAGACGTGATCTCATTAATTTTTATGGTTGTGTAGCATTCCATGGTATATATGTACCACATTTTCTTTAAGCAGTCTATCACTGATAGGCATTTAGGTTGATTCTATGTCTTTGCTATTGTGAATGGTGCTGCAATGAACATATGCGTGCATGTGTCTTTATTAATAGGATGATTTATATTTCTTTCAGTATATACCCAGTAATGGGATTGCTAGGTCGAATGGTATTTCTGTCTTTAGGTCAATAGGCACTTTACTGTTCTTCCTCTTTTCTATAGTGTTTTGACTTGATGCATCATAGTTTGCCTAACTTACTACCTTCTAAAACTAACTAAGTCATGATTCTCTTTTTAATTTGCCTTTTAATCCTTTAAACTATTTTTTTTTTTGCATTTTGCTACTCTTTCTTACACCTTAGTTTCTTTATCCTGTTTTTTTTTTTCTTAGCATTTTTTTGTTGTTCAGCAGTGTCCCATTAAACTTAACATTAAAAGAACCCTGTGGAAATCCTCATCCTTGGCCCTTCATGCACATCATTGCATTCTGAGCTTAAAATTTAAGCCCTTTCTGAACTATAAATCAGAAAGTGTGGTGTTAAGACACAGCTCTGCCACTTAAATTTTGACCATGCGTGACTCAAGAGTCTCTGAGCTTCACTTTCATTATCTACCTCATATGGCAGTTGCAGTAATTGAAAGGGCTTTTATTTACAAAGTTTCTATTATATTGCCTTCCATGATCAAGTGTTCCATTAAATTCTAGCTTCCTTCCCTTTTTCAACTACTAGCATCCAATATGGGCTGGGGTGGTGGTGTATGCTTCTCTCCCTACCGAGTTGTAACTGCAAAATTTAGATGCATTAATTTATCAACTTACTGTTAATTTAATTTAGCTTTTCTCTAGGAAAGTTTAGAATGTTTGCTACAGATATAACTCATGGAAGGAAGTAGCAATAATCTTGATGGTTGGAAATAAATCACATTTGGGGCATTTTCTCTCAGTTTAACATTCATGGCTAATTCTAAGCTTATTATATCCAGGGTGTGTGGCTTGACTTAGAAACTCACATCAATATTTATCTGATAATGTGTTCCTTGCTTTTGGCCCTTTTATTAAAAATGTAAAACAATCCTATTTTTTTAATTAAAAATGCTCTACTTGTTTATGGGAGAAAAGCTAGAAAATATGGGTAAGTAGAATAAAGTAAGAACTTTTAAAAATCCACCATTAACCCTACTATCTAGTGCATAATCTTCCCAGATGTTTTTCTATAGTTTTACACTTGTTTGGGTCAAGGACTGGGAGTCTCACACATCTGTGTGGATACCACATAAATATGATATGTGAATCATCAAATTACCTGGCAAATATTCAGAAGATTTGGTAGAAGGGAGTTTGAGCCTTATTTATCTTTTTTCTTTCTTTCTCTTTTTTTTTTTTTTTTTTTTTTTTTTGAGACACAGTCTCGCCCTGTCACCCAGGCTGGAGTGCAGTGGCGCAATCTCGGCTCACTGCAACCTCTGCCTCCCGGGTTCACGCCATTCTCCTGCCTCAGCCTCCGAAGTAGCTGGGACTACAGGCGCCCGCTACCATGCCGGGCTAATTTTTTGTATTTTTTAGTAGAGGCGGGGTTTCACGGTGTTAGCCAGGATGGTCTCAATCTCCTGACCTCGTGATCCGCCTGCCTCGGCCTCCCAAAGTGCTGGGATTACAGGTGTGAGCCACCGTGCCCGGCCTGAACCTTATTTTTCAGATACTTTTCAATACATAAGTAAACTGAGAATTCTGCTACTGTATAGTGTGAATCAGGTTGGCTGTTTAAAATTCTTTCTTTTCTAATAATAATGTGTTGTTTATAACACATTTAATGGGTTCTCATCAATGTTCCTGTAAAATTCCTGTAAATAATAAATATTATACTTGAGAATGTTTATAGCAGAATTCTCAAATTAGGCTTACATTTCATGAATGTGGAAAAGATCAGGACTGTGGACTAGACATTTGTATTAACTCCTGGGACTTGATTTGTAGAATCAATATAATGGACTATTTCTTTCCCCCAAAGCACTAATCTGCTAGCAGATGAATAGTAAAGCCTGGCCCTGTAACACAATGACAACCCTCTTGCAGGTGTAATGATATGAGTCGATCTGATTCCAACGAATTGTTATGTTTTCTATTAAAATGCTGTGTTAATCTTCAAAGCAAAACAATGGACATTATTATATATAAATTTGAATGCTATGTGCTGTGTATGTATACTATTTTGAGCATGATTTTAAGAAAAACACCTAGTAACACTTAGCTTTAATCTTCACTAAGTTACAATATTTTTTTCATCACTCTCTAATTCCCTTGACTTTTTCTAAGACTTAGGTAGGAAACTGCCTTCTTAGCTGTTTCAAACACGGAGTAGTGGGTCTCGACGTTGGCCCTATATTAGAATCTCTGTACTTCAAAATGCTCAGGCTATGCCACAGAACAATGAAATCAAGATTTCTCGAAGCAAGACACAAGTGTATTAGTATCCTAGGGCTACCAGAATTGCCACAAACGTGGTGGCTTAAAACAACAGAAATGTATTCTCTCACAGTTCTGGAGGCTGGAAACTGAGATCAAAGAGTCAGCAGGGCCATGCACCCTCTCAAGCCTCTGACGGAAGGATCCATTCTTGCTTCTCCCTAGCTTCTGGTAGTTGCCAGCACTCTTAAGCATACCTTGACTTGTAGTTGCATCATTCCAATCTCTGCCTCTGCTGCTGCATGGCTGTCTTCTCTATCCCTGTGTCTCTGTATCCAAATTACCTTCTTTCTCTTATAACTAAACCAGTTAGATTTAGGATCCACCCTAAATCACCTTGATGACATTGCAAAGACTTTATTTCCAATCAGGTCACCATCATAAGTATGGGGGTTAGGACTTGAACATAAGTCTTTTTTGAGGAGACACAGTTTGGCCCGCTACATCAGGCTTAAGAAAGTTTGAATTCCTAGGTGATTCTACAGCATAGTAGCTAAAGCAGAGAGCCACTTCTTTCAGAACAGTGCTTCTCAAATTTTAATAGACAAATGAATCACTGGAGGATCTAATTAAAATGCAGATTTTCATACATCAGTGTTAAAGTGAGGCCAGAGTCCCTATATTTTTAACAAGCTCCTGAGTGGTGCTCGTGCTTGGTCCAAACCTCAAGGAGTGAGTACTTAGAGTAAAGGCTTTGCCGCCTTCTTTGTGGCTTCACCTGTGACTCCCCTTCTAGACTCAGGAACATATTGGTATCAAAACCCTTTGCAAGAAACTTCCATTAGGTCAAACATTCAGTGCTAGGTGAGGAGGAGATGAATTTTTCCTTCTGAGTTACATGCTCCAGCTCCTGTGCCCTTTCTCTTCTTTATGGAAAATCCAAAATTTACAAAATGGAACAGTGAAGACATACAATACACATTCAGGCCACATCCTTTTCATAAGAGGAGAATTTTCTGGGAACCAACTTGTAAATCACTCTAACTTCACCCTTCCTTCCCTTATCCATTTCCATAATAAGAATCAAGATGTTCCAAATTAGCACGTATATTTTGAAAATAACAGCTTTATCAGTCTTTCAACTTACCAGCTAATTTTTAACCAGATTTTTATGCTCAGGCTAAAAAATTTAAAAACACATTTAATCAGAACAAAATGCAGCTTTATGAAAGACACAAATTGATGAGAACAAACCCTGCTGGGATTTGCTTGACATGTCCTTTTAAAATAAATTTAAACTTTTCTAACTGGGCTTTAAAAAAATAACAAAGTGGCATGACTTGCTGAGCACAACAAAGACACAACATAAAATAATATTTTGACAGACGATTTTTTTTCCGTTTGGATCACAGATGCCATGTTTCTTTTATTTGACTCTTCTCTGTTATTTAATCGGAAACTATCTTGTGGGTTTATTAAAAACAAGTTTGGCCAATTAAGGAGAAATAACAAAATCTGTTTAAGTGACTTGTGAAGGAGGCTGACACATAGTATTTTTTCTTGAGCTGAAATATAGCTTACCAGAATGAAGAGTTGAGGGTTTTTTCCTCTTTTTATTTTGAAAAATGTCAAATCTATAGACAGTTTCAAGATTAGCACAATGAACATCCTATACTCTTCACCTAGATTCCCCAATTGTTAACTTTTTGTCACACTTGATTTTTCTTTCTCTTTCCCTTTTCATTTTTATTTTTGCTGAGCCATTTGTATATTGTAGACATCATAACACTTCACACTGAAATGCCTATTCACCTAAGAACAAGGACGTTCTCCTAAATACAGTACCATGAATTCACCAAAGAAAGAACATAGATAAATATTATCCAAAATAGTCCATGTGAAAAATTCCTTTTCTTCGTAGTAGTGTTTTTCTCTTTTCTTTTGATTATTGTTTTATTCTTGTTTATCCAACCAAGAGTCATGCATTACCTCAGGTTGCCGTGTTGTTTTACTTTCTTTATTCATTTTTTTAAAGCTTATTTTAGGTTCAGGAGTACATGTGCGGGTCTGTGATACAGCTAAATTGCATGTCATGGGAATTTGGTGTACAGACAATTTTGTCACCCAGGCAGTGACAAAATAAGGTAATAAGTACCTGATAAGTAGTTTTTCAATCCTCACCCTCCTTCCACTCTCCGTCCACAGGTAGGCCCTGGTGTCTGTTGTTTCCTTCTTTATGTCCACGCATACTCAATGTTTAGCTCCTACTTAGAAGTAAGAACACATGGTATTTTGTTTTCTGTTCATATGTTTGCTTAGGATAATGGCCTCTGCTCCATCCATGTTGCTGCCAAGGACGTGATCTTATTCTTTTTATGGCTGTGTAGTGTTCCACAGTGTGTATATGCCACATTTTCTTTATCCAGTCTATCATTGATGGGGATTTAGGTTGATTCCATGTATTTGCTATTGTGAATATTGCTGTGATGAACATATGCATGCATGTGTCTTTATGGTAGAATGATTTCTATTCCTTTGGGGATATAGCCAGTAATGAGATTGCTGGGTCAAAAGGTAGTTCTGCTTTAAGTTCTTTGAGAAATTGCCGCACTGCTTTCCACAGTGGTTGAACTAACTTACATTCCCACCAGCCTTGCATGAGAATTCCCTTTTCTCTGCAATCTTGCCAGCATCTGTTATTTTTTAACTTTTGGTAATAGCCATTCTGACTGGTGTGAGATAGTATCTCACTGTGGTTTTGATTTGCATTTATCTGATGATTAGTGATATGAAGCCTGTTTTCATATGCTTGTTGGCTGCATGTATGTCTTCTTTTGAAAAGTATCTGTTGATGTCCTTTGCCCACTTTTTAATGGGGTTGTTTGCTTTTTGCATGTTAATTTGTTTAAATTCCTTATAAATGCTGAATATTATACCTTCGTCAGATGCATAGCTTGCAGATATATTTTCCACTCTGTAGGTTGTCTGTTTATTCTGTTGATAGTTTATTTTGCTGTGAAGAAGCTCTTGGTGTCTTTGTCATTAACTGTTTGCCAGGTCCTATGTCCAAAATGGTATTTTCTGTGTTATCTTCAGGAGTTTTTATAGTCTTAGGGTTTACATTTAAGTCTTTAATCCATCTTGAGTTGATTTTTATATATGGTGTAAGGAAGAGGTCGAGTCTCAATCTTCTGTATATGGCTAGCCAGTTATTCCAGCACCATTTATTGAACAGGCGTCTTTTTGCCAGTGCTTGTTTTTGTTGACTTTGTTGAAGATCATTTCTTTTTACAAAATTAAGCAAATACTTAAATCATATTTAAGTATTTTATTGATATTAAGATCAGATGGTTGCAGGTGTGTAGCACTATTTCTGGGCTCTTTATTCTGTTCCATTGCTTTGTGTGTATTTCAACTATTTTAAGCATTTTAAGTAATCAACACATTTAAGTATTTTATTGATATTAAGTATCATTTTATTTTCTGATTCTTTTCTTATTTATTCCATGAAAGGTCCTGGACTCTTATTTGAATCATTTCTTATTAATATCTGCTGTTTTGGTTACTGTAGCCTTGTAGTATGGTTTGAAGTTGTACTGCCCTTTTATTCTAGAACAGTTGACATTTTTAAAGATTCTAGATCAGTGGTATTGTAAAATGCCTCCAATCTTATTTTTCCAGTTTTTCCTCATGAACAGATTCAGAATTAAATTTTCGTTATTTTGGTAAAAATACTATAAACATAATGTGCCCTTCCAGTTGAATCACATCAGGAGACCTGTAAGGTCAGTTGGTTTTATCATTGGCCATTTGGTAACTTGGCCACCTCTATTTATATCTCGCATACCTCCCCATTGTAAAGGTACTTTCCACTTTTTGTAATTAATGCATAATTAAGTTATTATTAATTAAAATATGGTGATACTTTGGGATTAAGTGGATTCTCCAATAAGCTTGTACCAAATAGTTTTAGGATCTGTTAGTGTTCCTCACTTGACTCAATTATTACACTGTTAATTACAGAACGTAGATTTTCTAATTATATTATTTCTTCTACATGTATGACTTGATACTCTTTTTCTTTTTTTAAAGAAGAGCTGATTATGGTCTTGATGTAGTAATTCTGAAGCCATTTTGTGTATAAACCATTTTTGTATAACCATTTTATGTTATAAAGCTGAACAAATGACTTACATACGTTGATGTTTGGGGGAACTAAGATTGTGACAGTAGGAGAAGAAAAATACAAACATGCCATGGGGTAATGTGAGGAAAGCAAATATTACATTAAGGTATAAATTGTCAATGTTAATATTTATTTAAAATACATTTCTTCAGCTCTGTCCACTTACAGGATTTAAAGGAAATAAAACTATGGTTGTCATGAGCATGCCCCTAGCAGTCAGATCTTAATTTCTAAATATTATTCTCCACAGCAGAGTTCCTTGGAGAAATAAGTGGCTGATGTCAGGTATGTATCAGAAAAAAGACCAAATCTCATGTTATGCGAAAAAGCAAGGTAGTGCTTAAATAATTATGGGGGCATATCAAAAGGGCAGGAGCTAGCTTGAAGGGGCTGCCACAGGCCACATTTGGGATAAGACAAGTACCAAAATGAATAATGGCTGTAAGGAATAACTTTGAGTAAAAGAAAAATTAGGAGGAAAGGGATCTGTGTTCAACAAACATATATATTTTTGGAAATTGATTAAATGACAGTTATTGGCCAGCCACTCGGGAGGCTGTGTATTTCATTATTTTAAAAGCTGAAGTAATGAGAATAACTGTCAAATCAATTTGGACATTTAAACAGTAGAATTGGATCACTTATAATACAGAAAATTGCTTTTCATTTGAAGATTGAATAGTAGCAAAAATAGTTACTTGAGATAAGCAGAATCAATGGAATATTAAGAATTGACTGCAGGCAAGCACTTCTGTTTTAATTCCTTACTGATATAAAAGCAATGGGAGAAATTGACAAAGACCCAGAGGTAAATATGCATGAGTAAATGTAAGTAGACCTCAAATGTCAGTTATTCTTATAAATGTGTGTCTGTCTGTGTGTATATTTTCTATGTATGTATACAGGCACTATTTCACAACCTATTGTCAAAGAGTTCAGTTTGTATTCAAAGACTAGTTACATGTTCTAAATTCAGGAAAGTTTCAGGCTTGAGAATTCCTATTGATTTAGAGAGAAAACTTTTAATTTCTTCTCTGAAGAACTGATTCCAGTAAAATCTATACCAGTGAGATTTCTGTAATATAAATTAGCTCAAATATTTCTTCCTGATAAAGTATGACAGGCATGTGAACTCCCTGTTGGCTGACTCATAGCCAGCTTACCAATCAGATTTAAAGAAACTGCTTCTTATTTGAAGACTTTTTGAGATGAGCAATATGCTACTGGACTCTTTCTGAGATATATTTATTCTAGAAAAATGAAAATCTTGCTGTATCAGGGTATGATGCCTTATGTAACTATTTTAAAAGGTTTATTTGGCACATTAAGGAAATGTAAAATGTTTCATTTTCCCCTCATTACTCACTGTACTACATAGCACAGTGTACCATATAGTACATGCACAGACCATAGAGGAAAATATGAAAATTTTCTTTCTTCAATATGGTAAGACAGACATGGTCAACTTAAGTGAATAACTTCATTTGCTAGACTGGGTAAACAGAACTGAAAATCACCTAAACCAAAGTACACAGCCGTGTATTTCACACTCTATCCAAAGAAGGTGTTGGAATATGCACTGTACCCAGATTTCTACTAGGTTTATCTTTTTGAGAGTGAAGGCAGTTTTAAGCTCTTCTAGTCCTAAATTGCAGGCCAAGACATTTAAATCTCCTCAAGGTAAATACAACTTCTTTGAAAGCTAGTTTTTCTTTGATACTTGGGTGGAAAATAACTTAATGTGGTGGCACCAATGGTAAAATTCATGTCTTGTAAGGGACCTGCATTTTATATCCTTCATGTAAGATTGGCATTTGTTGATTGCAAGTAGTAGAAAAGCAGCTTAAATTCATATAATAAATAAAGGTATTGTTGGCTTATGTACCTGGAAAACAGAGTGGTGCATCTGACTTCAGGAATGATTAGACCTAGAGGCCCAAATATTGGCATGGAAACACTATCCATTTCTAGCGTGGCTTTCCGTTCTGTATCTTGGCTTCATTCTGAAATACATTTTCTTTTTTTATGGTAACCACCAACAACTTCAGCTTTGTAATCTTAGTTGTTAAAGAGTGTGAGAAGAGATCACCTTATTATCAACACTTACAGCAAAAATTTCAGGTATAATCCTACTTGGCCCAGCCTCAATCATGTGCCCATAGCTGAACTAATTACTGTGATCAAAGACGTGGTGTCCTTGTAACCTAGGGCTAAATCATCACATTGATAGATGTGGGAAGACAGGATTTCCCTGAAGAGGGCATGGCATAGTTTAAACTATGCAAAAAGCATAGTTTAAACTTTTAAATATACTGCAGCATAAAATAAGTTGGAGCTACTCTAATATAGGGATATTTCAATTTCATTTAAGGCAAATCGCATAGTCTCTTTTTCAAGAAAGTAGCTGTTGACCTGACCAATATAACATATAACAATCTCTAACATTCAGAGATGCTATAGGAGAATGCCTAAACTTTTGGCTGAGCCATAAGTCCAGACTGCTGACCTTCCATAGAAGTCAAAATGGTAAGACACATAACAAGAAAAATTTAAATATATAAATGTACAAATAAAAAGATGGATATACACACTCACATATACATGTATGTTATTCGAAATAAACATTTTGCATGTTTTATAGTTTAATAAGACTGTTAATATATATGATCCCTTGCCAAGTTGTTGGCTCATGTGATTCAGAAATAAACCCTATAAAGACACTCAGACTTCTTTTGACTTCTATATTCTGTTTATTATGCTTTCTACACTGTCAACATATATTTTGTCCCTAATTATTAATTCTTCTAAGCTATACTAAAGAACACTTAGTGTTTAGTGTTATGTATGCCCTGCACTTTACAAAGCCCATTCACATGCATTATTTCATTAGTTCCTTTTACATTGTAATAAAAAGCATATGCTTGATATATATTTACATATTGTCTTCTCAGACAATCATTAAACAAAGACCTCCGCTAGCCCTGAGTTATATTCAGCTTTAGGTAACTATAAAATAAAATGTTCTTGCTCCCCCATCTTGCTGCCACTTTCTGCAGATCTTTGTTAGTGGCGTTCCTAAGCTTCTGCATTATAATATTTCTCATAGTCAATTATATCCAACAATGTCTGTGTACATGTAGATGGTCCACCATGGCTTCCTTGGAAATCTGCCCATTCCTTGGATGCCTTTCTTGCTGTCATTTCTGTTGCTCATAGATTCTACCCATTATTTTTCTGGTTGCTTGCATTGTTGCTCCTTTTCTCAGTATGGTTTTCTAGACCAGCAGAGGCCACATAGTCACTAAGATGCTGCACTGAGAGAGGAAATGATAAAAGCAAGAAAGTCTCTCAAGGAAGAAGGATCCCTTGTGCAAAGGGTGAAAGGTGTTATTACTCAAGATGAAATTAGGGTGCTGTTGAAGTGGAATTTGGCCAGGGTCCCAGGAATGCTGAAGTTCTGTCCTAAGCCAGAACTATTCTCTCAAAAGGACCTCCAAGGGAAACATATGAATGAGACTGAAGAATAAGGTAATTATAATAATTGCTATAGAATGTTTAACAACTTTATTGAGGGATAGCTAATATATTACAAACCACACATATTTAAAGTGTGTAGTTTGATATGTTTTGATATACATACATCCAGAAAACTATCACTGCGATCAAGAGAATAAACATATCCATCATCCCAAAAGTTTCCTTATACTTCCGATTAGTAGGAATCGCTCTAAGAAACAGACACTCCTCTGTGTTTTGCCATGTATTTCTGGCCAAAGATAACTCTGCAAAGTGAAAAGTAAAAGAGTCTTTATTGGGTATGCTTCCTTGACCACTTAAAGGGGCACAGATATCTGCAACCTAGCTGAGCTGAAGCTGCATGCTCAAATCAGTTTATCCCCACAAGACCTTACCTTGACTTACTCAGGTACACATAATTCCTCTTCAACTATTTTTTGATCTTTTAAAGGTTTATTTGGTTATATTATAATCTTTCTTTTCTTCTGGGCTCACTTCCAGACACTGTCTGTGGAATTGGCTTCAATGTTAATTAAAAGTATCTTTTGTTTGGGCCATAAATTAAAGTGTTCTGTGTTTCTTTATCCAGTGTCAGGCTTAAGGAAGTTAGCCAAATGTGAAGCACTAGGGAAGGGGTAGATTCTCTGAACTCTGCATATGTCTCTCTTCACTGTAGTTATTGATGTAGGACATAGTTTCATGAGCTATTGGAGCTAGAAGGCATCTTCTAGAGCTAGTTGATAAGACAGTGATAAAGCCGACACTCAAAAAGACCAGGTTACCTTCCTAGGTTCACAAAACTATTTAGTGGCACAGTATGTATTAAAACCTGCTTGTCTTAAGTTTTAGCCTTATGAACTTTCCACACTGTGACTTCTCTTGGCTTCCATGTCTCAGGATTTTATTCTTTAAGGTAAAGATGGTAAGAAGTAGATAGAGACCGTGGATGCTAATGAAAGATCTTTGATTTTTTTTGCAGCACAGAATGCTAGAGATAGGACATTCACTTTATTGGATGTTATTTGGCACTCAAGAAATACTACTCTTACCACTACTACTACTGCTGCTGCTGCTGCTACTGCTACTACTACTACTACAACACATTTATTGGATGATTATTATGTGCCAAGAAACATTTTGAATTCTTTACATGTATTGACTCATTAAGTCATTACAAAAACCTATTGCTAAAGCAGCGAGGTCAGATAATTTGCCCAGGGTCATGAATCTAGCATCAAAAGATAAGCATGACTTTTAGAGGTGTAGTTTTGTTACCATAGCTGAATGAAGCCAACTCTACAACTACATTATGTGTAGTTTCCTATTACCTTTCAAAAGGGTGTTTGGAAGAGGAGTTCTTAATCTGGGGTAAACAGGTAGGCTTCAGATAATCTGAGAACTTCATAAAGTAGCAGGCATCTGCTTCACAGGTCAGAAGGGTGCAAATAGATGGAGAGGGTGGGAACAGCTAAGGTAAATAGCATCATTCCAACTCTGGACCAAACATGCAAATAAATTATTATCCTTATTTATTTTTTCAGGTGAAAAGCCTGAAGTTCAGAGTGATTAGATAATATGTTTAAACCACCCAATTAGGAGAGATATAGCTGGGATTCAAGCCTGTCTACTTCAAATCCTCTGCTCTCTCTACTCTATTCCATTATTTTGGGGACAAGATGAAGAACAGGAAAGAAGAGAAGGAGGAGGAGAGAGGAAAAAAGAAAAGGCAGTAGCAGGAAAGCCATATGCTTAGGACATCCTGCAGATGGTATTTTAATTTCTCATTCCAGGAAGTGATTGAGGAGGGAGAACCAGGAGCTATTCAAACCAGAGACCCATAGAAATTGAGAAATGGGAGTCAGGTGAAGGGAGAACACTCAAGCTATAGAAATGGGCCTCCTTGATGAAAGAAGATGTAGAAGGTAGGAACTTAGGCACTTGAAGATGATTTGGAGCTACGGAGATTTTGTGTAAAATGCATTTATTTCAAAAGTGCCAAGTATTCTCACTACAATGGTATCTTGCCATTTGAACAGCAAGGGAAATTTTAAATATTTAGAAAGAATTCACAACCTTTTTCTCACCTGATGATCTTCAAGCACCTATGAACATGTAGGTAGGATCCCTCCCCAGACTTCTTCTCCATGCGTCCCTCTCCATCCTCCCCACCAAAGACAGAATCACAGGCTATGATGAAGCTGGTGTTAGAACTCACATCTCTTAAGACTCTGCTCCTACTCCAGGCTAAAGCAGATGCATTCTATCTTCAGTGTCTCCTACCTGGAGCTCCACAGTTGCTTATCTATTTTTGGTTTCTGTAATCAAAATATTGGCCACGTTCAAGGAGGTGCCAATTCCCAGAAGACTTTGCATTCAGCACTTAACTCAGCTAGGGATATGGAGCCTTCCAGCTAGGTTACCGCTGACTGACTGAGGGAGAAATGGCTTCATCTACATGGTGGACTATGCTCTCTGCCTGTTGGGCAGTGCCCTAGAGGCAGGATGTCATATGTGATTTTAAGGAGTAAAATTAGAATAGAAAAACCCTCTTTCTTAAATATACTGCACTTTCTCCAGTAGTGACTTAGGAGGAAGATAGTTTAGAAGGTTAAATTTTCGTGTACAGACCCAAATGTGCTTTATTTCTAGAATTTATATAACACACACTTCTTTGGGAATTTCCTTTAGCTCAGACTTGTGTGCTGGAATCCTCTTATCCTAAAAACCTGCTCTCTCTCCATATCTATATATCTATATATCTATATATTTCAGCTTAAAAATAGACTATTTAGAGCAGTTTTAGGTTCACAGCAAAATTGAGCAGAAAATAGAGTTCCCATGGACCTCGTCCAGGACACACACACACCATCCCCTACCATCAAGATCTCATACCAGAGTGGTACATTTGTTACAGCTGGTGAACAGGGTCATCACTCTGGACTCTGAATCCAGGTAGAATTCTTGACCATTCCCTTCTTATTACCACTCTTTCTATTCCTCTGCCTCTGTGTTTTGTTTTGTTTTTGTGTTTGATTTTTTTTTGTTTGTTTTCTTCCTGTGCAAAGCCAGCAGCAGATGGAGAGGAATTGGCTGTGAAGGAGTGGCACCTAGCCACCCTCTTCATCCACGCCCTAGGGCAGACTTTGGATTAGAACCTTTATATATCCACCTAGTGAGAGGCAGTGGTTGCTCAATAAACATTTGTTGAACGTCGACATCTGAAAATCATGCTATGTTTTCCCGCCTTTATTCCCTGTCAAAGCTTACCAATAAATAATACCTCGATGGGAACAAGTGTATTAGATTCTTCTTCAAGGACTGTTTGGAACAAGATGAGAGTGAATGCCCCAGCACCCTGCAGTGGGAGTGCTTACAGGAACTTGGAGCTCTGAAGATAAAGTTTGTCAACTTTAAGCCTTTTCCTGGACTGGCTTATCATAGGGTCAGTCATCTCATATTTGAACAAAAGAAAACAAATGTGATATTTAAAACTAGAGATATATCTATGTTGGAAGAAAAAGGACAAGAATAACTACCATGATGGAAACCACCCTTGTGTAAGAAAATGTTAAGGAAAGTTCTCAGACCAATCTGGATGGGAGAGGTCAAGACCCAGGAGAAGCAAAATTGCTCTGGTAATAAAGTGACAATCTTTTCTACCAACCATGCAGAGAAACAAAGAAGAGTGTGTATTCTAGCAACAAGTCAATGGGCTTGGGTCTAAGGAAAGAAACAAGAGAGCCCCTGAGTGAGGGGATGGACAATGGATTTAGCAACAGTAGTTTTCAGATTTACTCCTAGTTTTCTTTCATAATTTCCTTCTGTTATGTCAATTATGAACTGACCTTGGATCATTTTGCCATGCTCAACTCTTAGGCTCTTTTTCAGAAATAACAGTAGCCTCAAAAGAAGTTTAAGTAAAGTTTAACTACTGCCCCATAATCTTGCTATAATAAAGGTAAACTTGTAGTGAAAACAAGTCTCCAACCAGATCTGGCCACATATGGACGTACACTGAACAAACACGCATTAATAACCAAGCCCAATATGGTTGAGTAAGCCTGTTCTTTAAGGTTAATGAAGTCCCAGCTGTCTCTCACTGCAGGTGTTTTGTGCATCATTTCACGTGAAGGGTCACTTGGGATATTCAGGACAAAATTCCAGAGGCAGGATCCAGTTACTTTACACTTGGCATCAGCCAACCAGAAATCCTATTTAACCAGAAATCCTATTCACTGGCTGGATGAGAGGTACAAGCTACCAGGCTTGCTACAGTCTTATGTTCTCTTCAAGCAAGTGTGAAAAATATTTCTAAAATGTGTAAGCCAATCTACATGTATTGAATTCCTGTAATTTCATTAACACAAAAATCCATTTCTAACATTTATCAGGATAATTGACAAGCCACTATTTTCACCAATAGTTAAGCCATTTCTGTCCTTGGTTGTGTTAATTAGCCAAGCCTTAAGTATTGAGTGAGACCTGGATAACAGACCCAAGTGCAGTTGTCTTAGCTGCCCCTGGAGGGTAGCTTTTTGATACAATACTAGCTGGAGAACTCTTGGAGCATTCATTTTCAATTAAGTCAACTGATTGCGTCTAATGTTGACGATTAAACAGCCTATGACATAAATTATATCTTGTCTATAGATGCCAAAGTATTTTAAGGTAAACTATAGACACGTAACAATTTCTAAACTTTTATCGAAAAAGTGTTACAGGCAATAGTTACACGTCTTTGGGGCAGGGACAGAAGAATAGAAAGAGTGGTAATAAGAAGGAAATGATCAAGAATTGTACCTGGATTCAGAGTCCAGAGTGCTGACCCTGTTCATCAGTTGGTACAAACGTACCACTCTGATATGGGATGTTGATGGTAGGGGAGGCTATGCGTGTGTCTGGGAGGGGATCTTTGAGAACTCTGTATTTTCTGCTCAGTTTTGCTGTGAACCTAAAATGGCTCTAAATAGTCTATTTTTTAAATTGAAAAAAATATATTTGAAGCAAGATTTTAGGGTAAGAGGATTCCAGCAACCATACAGAGAATAGAAATGTATTACCCCATCCCATTAACTAGCTCTCTTATTTACCTCAACTCTCAATGTCCTCAGGTTCCTCATCTGTAAAATATAGATAATAGTATATACTTTATAATATTGCTATGACAATTGGTGAGTTAATATTTCTACAGCACTCAGAATGGTGCCTGGCTATATACATTTTGCTAAATAAATCACTAATGAAAATATAACTTGGTTGGCAGTCTTATGCTATTGCTTTAGAAAAGTGAGGTTTTTGTTTTGCTTTGTCATTACTAAAATCAGAAGAAAGGGAATTTGTTAGTGAGCTAGATACCAAATATACTCGGCTTTCATGGATCAACCTGTTAAAAATTTAGTGTCTATCACTGATACAGCTTATTTAATGTTAAACTCAGTAATGTCAAATTCAGATAACTTCGTACCCCAGGAAAGAAGACAGGAAGACGATGGCTATAAATATTTTCTTCCAATGTCTGGGGACTTGGAGATAAGATATATAGGCTTTAATGAGTGCTGAGTCTGCCTTCTTGAACAGAAACCTAAAATTTCTTTGTGTGTTTTCCAAAGTTTTTAGGATCAGCATGTATCACTTAAAAAACAATATATATTTTATTTACAGGTTAATTTTTTAATTACCCAATTCCTAGTGTCTGTTATTCTCTTGGAGGGATAAGGATAACCCATTGGTTTTCTAGATTACCATTTGTTTAAATAGAATAAAACATTAAACAGTTATTTCAAAGCTTGGTTAAAATCTATTTACAATTACCTTTAAAAAACTGTATCTGTTCAAAACAGTTGTGTGTCTGACCCAAGTGTGCAGAAGTTGCAAAAGCTACTGTTCTGCTCTGGGAAGTGGCTAGGCTATTTCTATGGAAACAATTGTTTCAGATTATTAATAAAATAAGTTTGAGCACAGAGGGCAAAGAGCTAAAGGTTGGAAGAGAGAAAGCATATCTTTTCTCTCTAGGAAGAGAGAAAATGGAAGATTAGAGGAAGAGGCATTTTCTTAAAATCAAATTTTATTCTCACTGTTAGATATTGCTTTGTTTTGCTTGCTTCAGATACCATGGGCATATATCTATCACTCAAGCCATTCATGCAAGACTTGGGTGGCTCAAAGGGCTCAACCTATAAAAGTTGCTGCTTTTCCTATCTCACTCAAAAGATCTGCAAATTCAATAAGGAATAAATGTATGCAAAGGCTATCAGGGTTCTCTAGGATAATTCTAGGAAATTATTCATCCATTTATTCATTCATTTGTTCACTATTTATTGAGCCCTGTTATGGCAAAAGTCACTAAGCAAGGCACAGAAAAAAAATGTGTGGTGTCTGTTCTAAAGGAGGTCACTGACAAGTGGAGCATACAGAAAATTAAACAGAAGTTATACTCCAGGGCTAATGGGTTTGTGCATAGAGGCATCAAAGCCCTGCACTAGCATAGGGTATTTTATGAAAATGCCATGGAAGCAGGGAGTTTGTTCACCACCACATATACAGAAATTGGCTGACATCTGCAATATTAGTAGACATTCAATAGTTAAATGAATGAACAAATGAACAAATAAATGGAACTAATTCATCTCAAAGTGTGAAAGATGCCAGCTCACTGTGTACATCCTAATTGTGTTACCATAGGATGCTGCCTGTTTACAGAGCCCCTCCTCCAAAACAGTAGAAAACACACATCGGACCACCAGCCATCTGGTCCAGTCATCATTCACTCACTACTCAGTATCTGGTCAACATCTGGTGAGCTGCTGCAAAGGGAGTACGAGGGAGGCTGATGAAATAAAGACAGTAAGAAGGAACCCTGGCCCTCAGGATGTTTATCATCTCTGAAAAAGAAAAGAGACACAGCTATAATTTAGAGTTGTATATTATTAATCTGTTGAATAAAATTAAGAGGAATAAGGAATGTAGCAGTTGTCTCTTTTTTTTTTTTTTTGAGACCAAGTCTCACTCTGTTGTCCAGGCTGGAGTGCAGTAGTGAGATTTCAGGTCCTTGCTATCTCTGCCTTCTGGGTTCAAGCAATTCTTCTGCCTTAGCCAGTCGAGCAACTGAGATTACAGGCGTGCACCACCACCCATGGCTAACTTTTGTATTTTTAGTTGAGATGGGGTTTCACTATGTTGACCAGGCTGGTCTCAAGCTCCTGACCTCAAGTGATCTGCCTGCTTTGGCCTCTCAAAATGCTGGGAGCCACCTTGCCTGGCCATCAATTGTCTCTTGAGTGCTACGTCTTGCACACTATATTAGACATGTTATATGTACTTTCTCACAATTCTCACAACACTGATTGGATTGTATCTTTGTTATCTTTTTATACATGAAGAAACCAAGTCTTAGCAATATGCCCCAGGTCATGTAATTATGTGGCACAACCAAAATTCAATCCCACCTCTTAACTTTTACATTCTATTAATCAATACAAGTCAAGTAAATCCTGAGTTGTTTGCATTGGGCCATCAGACTCCAAAAGACTTGTTTCAAAAAATGATACAAAAACATCCTTTTTTGAAAAATTCCTACAACCCTTCTTCCCCTTCCAAAATTACAAGGAACTCTATGTTCATCCTAATGACATAGTTCATTCCACCTCTGTGGAGAACACAGTATTAGAGCATGACAGTCTCATGGAATCCAAGAATATGGAAAAAGTGAATTGTTTCCATCACATCACCCTTCCAGCATGGAGAGCCCTCTGTGCTTAGTCCTCCAACACTCTATCTTCCAAGAATTCCACTCCTTCTGGGAACTGTCCCCTCTGATCCCATGTACATGGTCACAGGGACCCACCCTGTGAAATCTGACATGATTCTGCCCCAGTGGCTGTGGTGGTTGATCCAGGCCTGAGTAACTGACCCAAACTGTGCCCATCACAGACATGGTTAGGGTTTAAGGGCAGCTGCTTTGCCCAAACAGGACAATCACTGTCATTCCTGTGTGAAACTGTAACTGGCAAAAACAAGTTAGACACTCTTTGAGGAAGTAGACTATAAAATGTAAATCCAAGAGTATCTTCTGCTACTTGGACCCCACAATTACAAGTCTCCACAGCCATGACCTCAGCAAAACAGACACCAAAGAAACACAGAAGACAGAGTGAAGGACAGGGTCCAGGCAGCCGTGGTAACTCCCCTGTTGCCTTTCTTAGCTCTGTGTTGCCTCATGGAAAAAGGAATCCTACTCAACAAAACAAAGCAATTGGGTCCCAGGTTTCTACTTCAAGTTATTCCTGAGGCCCCACTGCATTTCTCTCTTTGTATTTCTTTGAGACACTCCAAAGTCTTTAAAATAAAATATCCCTTCTAACTTTTCTACTTATAGTTGGTTTGGGTTTTGTCATGGTTATTTGCCCTGCCTGAGAGGTGGATGCCCTGGAGCATTCCTGGATAACAGCCATTCTGCCTCTGGGACCTTTCTCCCCACTTGGGAGGAAAGTTACAATGGTTTTGAGAGGAGAAGCACTTTCCCTTTCCTTGGTAGCCGCTATGAAACCCTGCCATTGACCTACTGAGTGCTCACTCTGTGCTGGGCATAGTGATAAACACCTGAGAAGTATTTCCTTTAACCCTCACAAGTGCTCTTAAGCTGAGATATTATTACAAAATTCATTTTGTTCCTAGGAAAAACTAATTTGCTTTAGATGAACAAAAGTAGCAAATGATTAAGAAATGACTAAGCTTGGATTTGAAAATAGGTCAGTGTGATACCAGACTCTGCAGCTGTTCTCCTTTAGTATGTGGCAAGGCTGCTCAGAGTACTCCTTCCCCAAGTCATCTCACAGCCTCCCTCTTCTCCAGTCCCAACTTGCAGTTTTCCCTGGAGACCAAGGGATGTTGCCAACAATAATGGTCTTCAATACACTGTTGCAAAAATTATAACTGAGACACTTGATGCAGAACTTTTGCTTTCTAGTTTAGCTAAAACTGGGTTCTTGTCACACGACTAGAAAAGATTAGGCATGTGGACACACTGAAGGGTGAAGAGAGCCAAATTTATTGGGCAAAAAGGAAAGAAGAAAAAACACTCAGTAAAGCAAGAGGGAGTGCTGCCAGCAGCTCCCACCTCACAGATTGAATTCCAGAGCTGAAGAGCCCAGGCTCCTTCCCCATGCACAAGGTGCAAACTTCCCTTGGCTCCACCTAGTTCCCTCATTGCGCATGTGGGCATTATTCAGAAAGAATCAGTCGGGAAAGTGCAGGTAACAAAGGCAGTTCTCCCTCTGGGTTGCAGGTTTCATCTGGGACCAGCAGTCTGGTCTCTTAACCTTCAGGCTGTTTTAGGCCTGAAGATGGGGTTTCAAAGGGGACCCTTGGCTGTCTCCTGTCTCTGTCACAAATCTTACAGTCAAAGAGATCTGACTTAACTGATTCCATCTTGCTTCTAACCTCCCAGCTGTCCTTGTTCATTCCTGGATGTAGGCTGAACTAGCTTTGGGAGAAACTCCGTTTATAGTTCAGCTTTGAAACAAAGATGACAACAGCGGTCTCCCAAAACAAACCCTCCCCAAATGGCTCCTGGGGATAGCACCACTATTGTACAACTTAAGATCAGGGCTTGACATATTTTGCAGATCCTGCACTAGATGGGTCAGCTGGCACCACCCAGATGATAAACTGTCTCATCTGGTCGTCTTGTTCCCACCCAGGAACTGACTCAGTGCAGAAGACAGCTTCAACTCCCTCTGATTTCATCTCCTACCCAACCAATTAGCACTCTCTGCTTCCTGACCCCCTACTCACCAAATTATCCTTAAAAACTCCTATCTCCAAATTTTCCAGGAGACTGATTTGAGTAATATAACTCCAGTCTCCCGCACAGTTAGCTCGGCATGAATTACTCTTTCTCTATTGCAATTCCCCTGTCTTGATAAATTGGCTCTGTCTAGGCAGCAGGCAAGGGGAACCTGTTGGGTGGTTACAGTTTGCTCCCATCCACAGTGTGTCTTTTTCTTCTCTCCTTCCCTATTGCTTCCTTGTTCAAGGGGAGTGTCTGATTTTTACCTGCCCACAGGGCTGCTCCTCTGATTCAGTCAAACACTTGCCAAACAGGCCCATTTCCTGGGCCAGGTTGTTCCTCACTAACTTAACACTGTACTGCTTCCTGAAAGAGAGAGAAACAATTGATTCACTTAGACAAAGTAGTTGGGACCAGTACCCATTTTAAATGGATTTTCACTAGAGTCTAAAACATCCCCACCTGAAACATAGAGGGGTATGATCTCTCCAAGGCAGGAGCAACAGTTACTTAAATTCTGCAGCTTCTGAATGTGAAGTTGCTACCTGGATTTATCTCACACACAGCCAGATGCTGTGAGGTAGAAATTGCAGTGGATTCATAGTATGATAGGGTACAACTGCATGATTTGGGCCCTTCTCTTGGCTCTGTGGATCTGCATATAAAAGTGAGCCTGTCTGAAACCATCCATCATTGATACTGGACGCCTTCCCAGCCTTGCAGAATGAACCCTTCTGGAATCTGTTGGCCCATCACAAAGCGTGGGTCTTCTCAGTTGCTCTGCTTCATCCAGCTGGGTCCTTTCCCTCTCCCAGTGGCACAGGTACTGATTTACCTTTCAGTTCCTGAAAACCTGCTGATGCATCTAGCCAAAAACATTCTCTGTTTTGTTAAAATGTCCATGCCAAGCAGGAAAATATTATTAAGAGCAAGTCATATAAACTCTTAAAGTCTGTCTCACACCTCCATCTGGGCTTTGTCATAAAATTACACAAACTTGATGCAGTTAATGCTCAATTACACAGGAATTGGGAAGCCAGACCTCAATTTTCTCTATTCTTTTACTCCCCACATCTTTCTCACCTGTCATTTAACAAACTTGGCTTTACCATCATCTCTGCTGGATGGTGGAAAGTAGAAATAAAATTTAAACCTATCAATTGCATTGCTATCAAGGCAGCTCTGGTAAGAGGTTCAGGCAGAAGATCAAATGACTAGACTGAAGACCAGGGATTTCAGTTGTTGCTCTTTTTCTTATTTCTGCCTTTATATTTTTATGAAGAATGGCAAAGGTATTTTATTTCATTGTGTGTTTCCTCTCAAGATTGAGCTTTCAGAAATCCAGTTTATTTGTGTTGCTTCAGACTCAGGAAATGTGTTACTTTGAAAAGGACAGAGCTATTTATTAAATAAGGCCAACTGAGATAATCTTGCATATCTCAGCCTTGCCTGTGCTGAAGGTGAAAATCTGGCTGCTTTGGGCCATGAACAAGCTTCCTAGGGCAGTGGCACTCACCTCCATGGGCTCCTCTGAAGAGTTTCCCAAACCTCAGGGAAAGGATCGCCTTAAGTCCCAGGAAAGGGAAAAAGCCAGAAAGAGTAAACAACTCCAAATAAGGAGTTGTTTTCCACTAAATTTTCATGGAGCAAAACAGCCCAAGATAAGTCATCATCCCATTCTGTGTCCGAGACCACCTCCCTTTTAGCAGATTTAAGCCTCTACACTCAGGTAAGAGAGCTCCTCCGTCTGGAAGGAAGTGAGGTGAGAGGATCTGGGGGTACAACTCAGCTTCAAGATTTTCTGGCTATACTGAATGACTGAACAAAATCTCTCTGCTTGAAGTTTAGACATGCATGGTGTCTATATTTTAATATTCAAGAAATTGCTTTGTTTCACATTTTGGAGTGGCATCGTTGTCTGGGGTAATACCCAAGGTTCGTTGCCTCATGACAAGGAAATTAAGGACACAGACACACACAAGGAGTGAGTTTAAGAGTGGAGGTTTAATTGGCAGAAGAAAGAGGAAGGAGAACACCCCTTTCTCCTGTGAGAGAGAGAGAGGAGCTCCCGAGTGGGAAGTCCAGCCACGGTGTGGGGCACTGGATTTTATAGGCAGGCTTAAGGAGGTGGTGTCTGATTTACATAGGGTCCACAGATTGGTTGGACCAGGTGTGACGTTTACGCAGTGTGTGGGGAAGCTGGCCACCTGACCCTAATCTTATAATACAAATGGGGTCTTTACCTGGTCGGTGCCATATTGCCTGCTCCTTACTATACACATGGCTGGCAAAGAGAAAGGAAGATGGAGCCGCCATTTTGAACATGCCTAGTTCCATGTAGCCTTTTCCTACTGGCACAGCTGCTGGCATTCACCTGTGCAAGCTTCTAGATCCCTTGTCTATGTCTCCAGGTCAATTTTACAGGCTGGTCTTTGTTAGAAAAGAAAATGATTTTGGGGCTGCTTTTCATTAAAAGGAAACCCTTACTAATGACCCCCATACCCTCACTATCTGCCTAAATAATTTCTTTTTAACTCCTATATCAATTTTATTTATAGATTGAAGCAAAGAATGCAAGAAGGGAAAAGGTAAAATGTATCTGTTAGTTCTTAAGGTCCTTTGGTTTTAATGCATTATATATATTAAAAATCAAGTATTTAAAACAAAGGATATAGAAGGAGTGGGGATCTAAGTGTGTTAGGTATTAAAGAATTAAATAGTTTATTCAACTGTATCTTCAATTTTTAATTGCTCTAGATACAATGGGAAGTTTTTTTGTTGAACAAATAATCCAATGGCTTAGGAGTAGCGTCAGTAAAGATGACAGAATTAGGTGTTGCCACACCTTGAAGCTTATAAATCAACTAAACCAATTTAAAAAAAATCTCAGTATAAAACAGTCCTGCAGATAATTTGTTTTTAAACTCCTAATAACTATTTGATCCTTCTCTAAAACTTACACTTTAAATTTATAATATGAACATGGACATATATTTTAAAACTATATACATTTTGATAGTTTGTTTTGAATGACATTTGGGTTGGTTGCCAGAGACTTATTTGTTCCCTTCCCAAACAAAGCTTCAGGCTCACCAGGGGTTTGGGAGACTGAATCACCCAAAATAGCAGCCATGGCCAAAAGCTGCAACCTTCCCATTTTCATGGTATAGAATCTCCTTGGGCTGAAGTAATCTTTCTAGCTTTATCGTTGTACATAGAGTCATTACTGTCAGCATTTTCTCGAAATACAAGAGCCACAGTCATTGCATTAAAAATAAAAGTGTGTATTTTCTTCAAATACAAGAGCCAAAGTCATTTCGTTAAAAACTGATAAATTATCGTCATTTGCTGTTTTATATGGTGGCCGTTTCATGTAATAGAATGAGCATGGGATTTGTGAATAAAGGACTTGGGTTTAAGTGTGGACCCTGGGCTAATCACTTAACATCTGAATCTCAGTTTGCTTACTTTGAAAATGGGATAATAATAATCATAACATTATTCTAATAACCAAAAGAAATAGGAATTTTTAACAGTCAAAGGAAAACACATGCCACAGAGTAAAGGAAGGAGATGAGTAATCCCTCTGCAAGAAAAAGTCTTATATTTTTCCCTATATGTTATATTTGGGACAATAATTGGATAATTATAATGATAAGGGCCAGGTACTGTTCAAGGTACTTGACATGAATTATTTCATGTTAATCCTGCTATCATTGTCCCCAATTTGCAGACAGAAAAAATGAAGCAAAGGGAACATAAATTATTCAGTCATGCTTATTCGGTCAGGAAATGACAGAGACAAGATTTAAACCCAGGTAATTTAGCTCTAGAGCCTTGTTCTTAACTAGTATGATATTTCCCATTACATAAATAAGAAAGACTTAAATTTTCTGTAAGATATAGATAGCAGTTTATACTTGTTGAGCAAAGTTTCTTAAGCTATAGACAAATGAGATTCATAAAAGTGATTAAGGAATACCCCACATAGAGCTGGACAAATGCTGACATGCCTTATTGCATTTTGTGAATTCCTTTTCATGTATAACATTAAGATTCACAGAGTGAATGAAAGTATTGTACAAACACTTCAATATTTGGGATCTGGGACTTCGGATTCCTTTTTCAGAAACATTGAGCTTAACCAGCACTAACTTCGATTTCAAGTTGCTTTTCAACAATAAGCAAAAAAAAAGAAGGTCATGGTAATTGTATATATATTTTTAAAATCTGATTTTATTACACTAAGTAATGCATAAGTTATCCCCATTTGGACACTGGATATAATAACACTTTAGTTCAAAGGTGGAAGAGAAGGGTAGCAACTATAGATTGTTACCAATCACAATTTTTCATACATTTGATTAGGGATTTGAAACTGTAAAATATTTACAGACTTATAATTTAACACCATTTATGTTTCTGCATTAAAGGACATTGTACTTGGTGCTTGACACATAACAGAGGCTTAAAGAATATTTGTCAAATATTTGTTGAGTAAATGAATTCAAGAATATCTACCAGAATATCAAGGCATTTATTATACATACCAGATATTGGCACTTCTGAATTGAATTATCTTGTTCTGTATCTATCATGAACTACTATCTGAGAACATTGAGGAAACACCCTTTTTGAGGAAACTGCTGCAAACTGTGCCCCATAACACAAGAGACTATGCTAAGAAAAGAAGAAAAAAATAGGATCTAAAGATCAGAAGATCAAACTCAAGATAAAGACAAAGGAATCCCCAGGTTAATGATGAAGAGAGACCCCAAGAAAGCTGCTGTGAAACGTAGAAACCACATTTCACACTGGAGTAGGACAGAAAGCTATAAGAAAATGTCTCTAAGAAGATGAAATTGATGAGATGCCTGATGTGTCTGCATATATTGAGAGAGTTGGTTTATGAACTGATGACATGTAAGTACACAGAAAACTAAACAGTTTACTGTAATTTTTAACTCCAGGAAAACAAAACACAGAAAAGTGAAAGTTATTTTAGTATACTACAAGGCTAGGCTGTGAGTAATGTTTTCTTTGTCATATTAAGGTAAGTACTGAATGCTGGTCCTATCATAATTATGATACAATCATTTCAGATAAATGGAGCACAAGAAGTGGTAGTGAAAGAGAACAAAATCCTCTTCCATAGGACCATAATCGTTAATACCAAAACCTCCCCCAGACAAAGAAGTGGGACAATAACCATGTTAAGTAGAGATATGGAGGTGAATACTAAAATTAACAATCAAACAAATTTAAAGTGATTTTCTCTGAGGAGCAGAAAACAGGCAAGGATTTTGATAGAGGACAGCTGTTTTGTTTGGTTTAATTTTGTTTTAAATAATCCTTATGGAAATCTTAATTCTTTAAACAATGTGCATGAATAACTTGGATTAAATAATTAAATTAGAAAGGATTAGAAAAGGATTAGCCCAGAATAGATAAGACTCTAGCAAATAGTAATACGATAATATGATTCTTAAGAGAGACTGACACTATCGGGGGGCAGTTTTATAGGACCCTCTCCATTCAAGGGGAAATTACTGTGAGAATGTAATTACTGTGAGGATTCTCACACACACGTACATGCTAAATGGTACAGCTATAATAGATAGGCCAGTCTTGCATTTATGTTCTTGTTTCATCAGCACAGGAGTCATTCTGCTAGAAGAGTCTGTATTTATTATTAATCTAGGATGCCTTCATCTTTTCCTCTTCAACCCTCTTCCCAAACCTTATCGAATAAGAGCACATTAGAGACATGGGTAAGGAGCATCTGGTCATGACTTTCACCATGGATACATCCTGTGTAATAGGCAGACAGTTCCCTACTTGCCAAGAGCAAAAATCTCTTATCTACCCTATTTATAGAGTCATCAGCTATGTGGATCAAGTGAAGTCTAAGATATTCTCAAGTTGAGAAGTCCTGGTCTTGTGCAGTTTATTTATAGAGTAGTCTGAATCATATATAGGCAGAGTGCTAGCTCTATATGCTTTTTAGATATAGAGAAACATACATCATATTGAGATGATTTCACTAACTTACTGGCTCATTAGGCAATATATAAAACTTGTCCCTAGCTTAAGGTGCTGAGTAAGATTAGGTTCAGAGATTAACTAGATGGAGAAACATGGGTTCCACATGCTCAAAATATTCTTCTAGGGCTCTCAAGATTGGTGAATAAACCCCAAGAATCTGTGTATGTAGGATGTCTATGAAGGGCTCAAGGGGTATATATATATGAGCAGGTTGAGACGGGTGTGGAGGCTGAGTAGGTCCTAATGCCACCACCAGGATTTTCAAGTTACTTCCAAGGAAATTTTGTTGTAGAAATTGTGTTGTAACTAGGTCAAAACTAGTTACAATTATCTCCAATGCATAGCCAGAACATCTGATAGTGAAATATCTCATGTCTTGATATAAGCAATTTGGATTGGGGTTTGAAGGTAATTTTGTGATCTAGTAAAGAGTGAAACAATTGTATCAATTTTAATAAACCTAACCTGTATTATTTTAAATGTTGCTAATACTCTTTAAACTGGGAATGATCACATGAGTGGATGCCAGCCTAGGAGTCAGATAAATATCTTTCTTGGGAGAAGTCTCATTTCTTAATGCCAATCTCTGAGTTTCTGTCTTATGTGACTTCACTCAATATCTCAGGGTTAGCCATAATTTTTAAACTACAGACATTCCTGTATTGTATGAAAGTTTTTTTCCTAGCTGCTAGCCCTTCTCAGTATCTTTATTTGTTTCACATTTTGAAAGTGATGCACAAGAGAAACTCACATAGGAACCAGGCTGTTGTTTTATTCATTGACATTTGTTATTAACTTTATATCAGATGTCTTTCAATTATATTAAAAACACTCATGACAGAGCTATGTTTTTCCAAAATCACAGAACAAAAGTAAGTTCAATTGCTTCTAGATCTTTTCCTATACTATCGTGCCAACTTGCCAAAAAGATAAGACATAGGACATGGTAATAATTTTTTGGATGTTAATGGTAAACTGAGTGGCTCTGCTGAGGAGGAGTAGGGAAGGCAATGGTATATCCTAAGAATTCCTTCTCTTGTCAAGAAAGAATATCCAAGCAGATAGTTCTCATGGTATGAAGGTGCAGCTTTTCTTTAACTGAATTCCACATGGAAAAAATACTCAAAGACCTTCCCTTCAGTGGCTACCTTCCCTACAGCAGTTCCTCATAGGCTGCCATGAGTTACGTTAAGTTGCACCAACCACATGACTTCTCTACTCACAAGGTCAGATCTTCTGCCAACAGAAGTCGGATTCAACTCTCGATTAGAATTTAGTTCTCAGGAGGAAAGAGAATTCATGAAGGAATTATAATTTAGGATTCGTAGTATCCTATAGTTTACCCGATTCTAAGGAACTATTCTCTTGTACCAAGAAAAAAATTTGGCTGTAGGTTCTCAGGGGGATTGAAAATGTCCTTCAGTTCTCTTTCTTTTCCCATGCTCTCCATATCACCCGACATGCTTAAGATCAGGCTCGCTTGGATGCTTGAAATGTCAGCGTGTTCTTTTTTTCACTTGGCTCAGAATTTTTCATAATGCAGCAAACAAAAAACCTTTCTATTGTGCCTTTTTAGATAGCTGGAATAGTAGGTGGGGCTCCGTCACAGTCTTAACTTCTGAGGAAATAAGGTGGAAGAAGTTGCAACTAGTTTAGAACGAGATTAAGGAAGGTGGTACGTGTCTATACTTTTTTGTTTTGTCTGCCCCTTACATGCATTCCTTATAGGAGCTGATCCCCCTCTCCTGCCTATCATTCTGTGGAGCCATTGATCAAGGGATCTTACTTCTTCTACCAAAATAATGGTAGACATGTGACCTAGCCTGGCCAGTCAGAATATTCCATCCAAGTTGGGGCAGAATTTCTTAAGAGTGGGTACATATTCCAGCCCCAATCGGCATCTGTTGGGGGGATTAATACAGACATTGGAAAAGGGTAGGTCTCTTGTGGAAGCCTGGAGCTACTGAAATCCACTTTTGCTGCCACTTAGGGACGGCCTGGCAGAGAAGAAAACTGATCAGAGAAAGGCAGAGCCAGAGAAGTAGAAACAAATTCCCCTATGAGCACTTGGATCTGATTGTGCTTTTTGTTAAACAGCTAATATATTATCTTTTTTATAGTCACTGTCACTGTACATTTCCTCTCTTGCAAATGTATTGTAGTCTAGATTGCCTTGTAACAACCCAAATGGAGCACATATCTTAAAAGAATTATGAGAGGCAAGTACCATTGAAAATAAATATTATGCCAAAATATCTGGTAAAACCTATTGTACTTCTAAGTGGGGTCTCAAAGGAAAAAATCAGAAAGACTAATTTTTACAAGACTTCAAGATAAAACCAAACAGATCACTTTGAAATAAAAGCCACAGGGAACTGTAGTCAGTGGGGGGCACATAGGATAAATGAACAAATCTCTTCAATCTCTACTTTCAGTAATTCTGTAATAATTGTCTGATACGATTGTTAATTAGACTCAATTATGGGATTAGTTTGAATTATATTATGAAACATTGATTTACAGACTATAACCACTGAAAGCCTAAGTGCTGAATGTAGTAAATGTATTCTAATCTTGTGTTATAATATTGCAGCAGGGAGCAGAGAGGAATATCGATCTACTTATAATAAATTTATTTCCAAATTATTTTTTATTTCCAGTTAATAAATGTAACTTTGCTAGGGAATAATTTTTTTTGGAAGTGGTAATCCATTCCTCAGGGAGGAACAGAGAAATGTACTGATTTGTTTGACTTCGAGAGGCATCTGAACTAGAAAGTTTCTGAAAAGGCAAGCTTAAGAGAGAATTGGGGAAGATGTAAGTCTCCATTTCCTTTATGAATCTGATATTGCTGTAATCTTTGAGAAACTTCCCAAGTTGGCATATGTAACGATGGGCTAGGAGGCATATATACGGCATAATCTGGAAAGCTCATCCAAAACTAATTCCTAGGATGCATGATGGTCACAGTCCAAGTGTGAAAAGTCAAGAGAGGGCCCAGCATGGTGGCTCACACCTGTAATCCCAGCACTTCGGGAGGCTGAGGTGGGTGGGTTACTTGAAGTTAGGCATTCCAGACCAGCCTGGCCAACATAGCGAAACCCCGTCTCTATTAAAAATACAAAAAATGGCCGGGAATGGTTGTGCGCACCTGTAATTTGAACTACTCGGGAGGCTGAGGCAGGGGAATTACTTGAACCCGAAAGGCAGAGCTTACAGTGAGCTGAAATTGCACCACTGTACTCCAGCTTGGGTGACAAAGTGAGATGCTGTCTCAAAAAAGAAAAAAAAAAAGAAAAGTCAACAGAAGTATTATATATTTTAACCCTATGCCAAAAGTAGTAATATTGATAATACTAACCTTTGTCAACTGGGTAATATGTGCCCCAGGCTCTGGGCTAAGCAATTTATTCCTTTCAACAATATCATTATCAGACATATTTTACAGATAAGGAGACAGATAAGTTATATGACCCATCTCCTGGGGCATCTATTTTACATTTGGTTGTAGAGGGAAATGTTGTTAATTTGCCTAGGTCATTTAAAACATGTTTATATTCGTGGTGGTTTGCATTAATGCAATAAATAGAGTGTATTTCCTTGCCCTTGACTTTGCTTGGGTTTGGCCATGTGACTTGTCTTGGCTGATGAAGTGTTAGTGGACAGGACATGAGCAAAGGCCTGAAAACTACTTACATGATTGGGCTTACTTCCCTGAATCTTAGTTATAGTTCTGCTTCTTCACTGATCCCAAGAGGAGGATGAGAGACACGCAGATTCCGGTTAAGCCTCCCCAGTAAGGACCCGCCTACATGGGTCAACTCCTAGCTGCTTCAGATGTGTGTGAGAGAAGCCAGCTGAACTCAACAGTCACTCATCTGAGCCCAGATGACCACAGATGCATGAACTAAATAAATGCTTATTGCTGATGCCACTGAGAATTTGTGGTTGGTTGTTATATAGCACTAGCCAAGTGATACAATATTCAAACAAAAAAGACATTTTTAATTAAACTCAAACCTTGCTTGACTTTCTAATACAAGATAAACTAAGGGATTTTTTACTTTTGGTGGTTGAATTATTACTACACAGGAAGATATGTTTTACTCCACTGAAGGCCTTTATAAAAATCTTGTCTTCATTTCTTTCTTACTTTATTCACTATCCTCTTTTTCTTTTTTATTTTGAGACAGGTCTTGCTCTGCTGCCCCAGGCTGGGGTGCAGTGGCACAATCACAGCTCACTGCAGCCTCAACCTCCCCAGCTCAAGTGATCCTCTTACCTCAGCCTCCCAAGTAGTTGGAACTACAGGGATATACCACTACACCTGGCTAATTTTTAAATTTTTCATAAAGATGGGGCCTCTCTATGTTGTCCAGATTGGTCTCAAACTCCTGGGCTTAAGCAATCCTCCCACCTCAGCCTCCCAAAGTGCTGGAATTACAGACATGAGCCATCATGTCTGGCCCAGTACTCTTTCTTGTCTTTCTTGACCAACCTTTAAAAGAGATCTAAATTTCTTTACCTCCCATTCACTCCTCAATCCATCTCATTCTTGCTTTCAAGCTCTAACAAATCATTTATCACTTCCATTTAGGGGTATTTGGCAGAAAAATCTGAGAAGGATTGGTGTAGGGTTTGAATGAAAGGGGTAACCGTGGATCACACTGAGGTTTCTAGTTTGTAAGAGTGGGTGGAAGATGATGTTCCAACAGAGATAAAGAATATGTGATGAGAGGTAAGTTTGAATTCCCCATTCAATATCTAAGTAGTATTATCCAGCAGATACCTGGATATACTTTAAATCCAAATTTCAATGGAAAGATCTAGAAAAGGATGTGTAGTTTTGGGAATGGTATAAAAATATGTTGACTTTGAGGTTAATTAATATGAAGAATCTTATAGGTATGATCTACATAAATGTATATTTCACTATTATTATCCTGTATATAAAACCTACCATTTATGACATGACCCAACACTTTAACAAGGCATAAAAATCCCTCCTTGACCTGACTCTTGCGATCCCCATCATCTCTTGCTATTCTCTTACTTGGACTTTGGCACTCACAAAACACATGGAGTTTCTCAGACACACAAGCTGGTTCTCTCTCCATGTCTTTGTTCATGCTGCCCTTCCCTGGAATAGCTTCTCACCTGTCCTTTACCCACTCTCCCATCTACCCCAATTCCTGCCACTCCACTACTGAAGTCAGTGGTCATTCCTTCTAGAAAGCTCTTTTGTAATAATTTCTGCCTCTTCAGACAACATAGGGATACCTCCTGGGTGCATTTTTTCATTTTTTCCATGTTTCTGTCAAGGGATTTTCTGTTTTATAATTGCTTGCCTGTAAGCATGTCTCCCTTCTCAGACCCCAAATTCCTCGAGGACATGGACTCGAGCACAGTGTCTTATATTTGGTTGCTCAATATTTTAACTTTGGGTAAGTGAATAAATAAAACCTGATTGGGGTAGAGTTATAGAATTTAAAGTCACATACTAGATAGTAATTGAAGTTGTTGGAATCAACGAGGCAACTCCAAAATGACATTTTGGAGAGGGAGCAGAGGAAGAGGACTGACAAAGGAAACTAAGGAGGGGAAGGAGAACGTGGAGAAAAAGAGCCTTCTCTTTTCTTTCCGAGAGAGAAGGCAGAAGGGGCAGTGACTACAGCATAGTCAAGAAGAAAGGCTCTAGTTTTGACAGTTAGGTAGTAATATTTCAGTGAGAGCAGTTTCTGTGGTTTGATAGAGCTTGAAGGCAGAGTGAGGGAGACTGAGAAGTGAATGGGAGATAAAGAAATGTAGACATAGAGGAGTGTAGACTGATCTTTTAAAAAGTTTGACCATAAAAAGACAAAGAAGATAGTAACTAAAGTAAGGATAGAATGAAGACAGGATTTTTTTTTAAAGAAAGAGAAGTAGGATTGAAAAAATAGACATTGTAGAAAGGGAAAGTACCGTAGTGAGAATTGATAATCCATGGCTCAAAGTCTCAAAGAAGTTAGAAAAGAATGGTGTTGAACCTAAGATTTCTGGTATCCAGTGCAGTGGCTTCTCAAAATATATTGTCATTCTGGCACAGGGAGAAAAAAATTAAAAATGTGAAATGAGATTGTTGTATTTGAGTCCATTATGGAAATAGACATCTCCATTAGCAAATACGAAGCCCAGAGCTGGCATTTAAGATTGCATGGATAAGCCTAAGTAGGGGTTAGACTACAAAATTTGGCATCAGATAGACTTGGATTCAATTCCTGGCGCTACCATTTATTAAACTCTGAGGCCTTCTGTAAGTTACTTGAATCATTAAGTTTTCTCATGAAAAAGTGGGGGTGGTTATACTTACCCCATGGTGTAGCTGGAAGTAATAAATGAGTTACATGTATGAATTGGTCAGCCAGAGACTGGCACACAGTAATAATTCAATGAATGTGAGCTATTATTATCCTTATTATTTCTGGGATAAGCATAAAAATCTATATACATGCAATCCCATCATCAACTTTTCACACCCACTGAGATGTTTAACATACACCCTGTAACCCTTGCTAGGACAGGGACGCGTTTTCTGGCACACACACTTTAACAAGACAGATTTTAATGTTTTTGCTTTCCCATCCTGAGTGTGTATAGGACATTACATGATCATTCCTGAGAGTTATTTTCATGGAAAGGGAGAAATTAGAAGAGTACTTTTCCAAGGTGGTATGGTTTGGCTGTGTCCCCACCCAAATCTCATCTTGAATTGTAACTCCCACAATTCCCACATGTCATGGGAGGAATCCATTGGGAGGTGATTGAATTATGGGGACAGGTCTTTCCTGTGCTGTTCTTGTGATGGTGAATGAGTCTCACAAGATCTGATGGTTTTAAAAGGAGAGTTTTCCTGCACAGTCTCTCTTCTCCTGTCTACTGCCATGTGAGACATGTCTTTCGCCTTCCACCATGACTGTAAGGCCTCCCCAGACACTTGGAAATGTAAGTCCAATAAACCTCTTTCTTTTGTAAATTGCCCAGTCCAGTCTTGGGTATGTCCTTATCAGCAGCATGAAAATGAATGAATACATAAGGCCATTTCTTTTCTTCTTTTTTGTTTTTCGCTAGCAAAGCAGCCAGGAAGGAGTAATTGCCTCCTACTTTTCAAACCTATGTCCCCTTTACGCAATTTCTCTAAGAAATAAACTAAGGCACTTTATCTCCCTTCTATCATACCTTTTAACTAAGGTTTGTAAAATAATATTTTCAAAGCCCTTGGAAGATATGATCTTCCCTCATGCCTAGCACATCTATTGAATACAGAGAAACCTGATTTCCTTCCCAAAGTTGACTCAGCGAGAACACTTAGCACTCAGTTAAGGCCCAGGAAGGAAAGTACTGAGATTTAATGCTTTGCCCTTGGGAAGCAAGCTCCTCCTGCCTATATTATTAGGAAATAATTCCTAGCTGGAAAGAGAGTATAAAAAACCCCAGGAGCCCATCGTCCTCCATCTTAAGAAAAGAAGTTGGAATGGAATCAACACTAATGCTACAAATAAAAGCTGTTATTCAATGAAAGAAAAATTGGAGGTTTGAATAACTAGTATTATACCCACTGCTTGTTCCCAAAAGCTTATTCATACTGGGCAGAGACTGATTACAGCAACATGCTGTATTTGTGTAATCCAACAGAAGTAAGTCATTGACAAAGGAAAAAGAACAGATCTCAGAAAACAAGCACCGGTGACATGTTACAACTTTTCTTTCTTTTTCTTGTTTTAGCACATTTGTAAGCTACCTCTCTGCAATAATTGACAAAACAGTACAGGAATTTTGCTTTTTAGAAAGTTGGATGTCATATGTCATGACTAACATCCATCAGTGATCAGTTAAATTGGGCAGTTGGGCTTGTGGTAGCATGTCTGTTCTCAGCCTAATGATTTGTTTATTTAACTGTTCTTGTTAGAGAAAACAACATCAAAAAGAAGATGTTGGTTTTAAAAATTAATCCGAAGAAGAAAAGAGTAAATAAAATACACATTTTTTTTTGGTCAATTCATTTCAGTTCTCAATGCCATTTTGAAGCATTAACTGTAATAAAGACAACAGACACTAATAAACAAGATACACACTAGTATAAAAAATACTAACTAAATATGCTCAACCTGTTAATTTTCTGTTGTTGGACTTAGAACAACAGCAACAAAATTAGTTTTCTTCTCATCCATTGAACTTTTTCCAAGGCCATTCCTTTTTTTTCACTAGCAAAGCAGCCAGAAGGGAGTAATTGCCTCCTACTCCTCAAATCTTTGTCTCCTTTAGGCAATTACTTCAAGAAATAAACTAAGGCACTTTATCTCATTTACCTCTATCGTACCTTTTAACTAAGGTTTGCAAAATAATATTTCCAAAGCCTTTGGAAGATATAATCTTCTTACTTATAAAGTAGCCATATAAATAGTCAATACTTAACAATTATACTTCTTGAACATGAACCATCTTGTAAAAATTCCAAACAATCACAGATATATGCACATGATGAACTCCCAGCTCTTCATAAAGTCTTTGGAATCAAGGAGGCCTCTAGAAATTAGCCTTCTTCTAACTTTTGTATAAAACATTGTTTAAAGTAATCTCATCCACTAATAGTGAATGCCTCTTGCCCTTTCTACATCTAAAGCGTCAACACCAATGCTCGTCTCATCATTTATTGTTCCACTCTGATTCCTCTATCTGACCATGCCTGTGCAATCTGACATTAACCTGTGTACTTATTCAGTGCTTGTGCTTGGGTAGGAATGTGCCTTGCCACACTGCACATCAATCTGGGCACTCAGTGGCTGGAAGGTTGCAGAGGTAAGAATGAAAAGGACCATCCTTCTTTTGTGGACCATTTACACAGCAGACACTTTGCTAACCAGATAGCATATGTTATCTAATCATTTAATTCTTATAAACCTTTTAAGTAGGTGTTATCTTTCATTTTCTAAATGAAGAAATGGAGGCTTAAAAGGGAAAAGCAACTTGATGCGAGTCATAAATAGACAATTGATAGGGCAGAGATGAGAATCAAGGTCTCTGTACCAGGAAATCTTATTCTTTTTACTATATTAGACTGTCTTCAGATAGTGAGAGCTAGGTCCGTTAACTCAGTGTCTAATATAATACTGAATTCTTAATAAATATCTTTGTTGCTATAATAATAACAGTAATAGAAGCTAATATATAACCATTTATTTGTACCAGACTTACAGAAGTTAAAAAGATAACAGGATCACACAGCTATGCCTCATATCGGTGGTGGAATAGGGATTTGAACCTTTGACTGTCTAACTCAGAAACCCGTATCTTCCATTTCTATGCCATAGTGCTCCCCTAAAGCCCTAGCTATACAAATTAATGTCCCCAGAATAAAGACTCATGAGAGGGCCAGCAAGCTTCATAAATGCACTTTATTTTTTTCTAAATACTGATTTTTTTTTTTTTTGCCTCTAAGAGCTATATATCTCATAATGGTATAGAATCCGAACTTTCAGTGAACCCGGTTATAGCTTTGACTGGTTTGCCCTGCGCATAAAGATATCAGCCCTTGTTCCTGTTGTGCCGTTTGTTCACGATTACGCATCACACTGGGGTTGATTTCTGAGCACTAAGCATCCTGTGGATGCTTTGTCAGAACTACCAACTGACCTTATAAATGCAGGGACTTCTGCTGGTTTTGTAACTTTCTCTGTCCACAGAAGTATTTCCTGGCATTCTCCATTAGCCACTTTCTCCTCAGCCTCTGCTTGTACATTTTCTTCTTATTTGTAGGACCTTGCACATAAGAAGATCTTCTTCTATTTATCTTTTATGTTAGTCAGCTCATCATGGTCACACTCAGGCTATCATTAACAATGTGGCCTTTAACAGTGGAAGACTCATTCAGGGGAACTAAAAGTAGAAGTTAAAATCATTAGCCACTCTCAGTAAAGGAAGAACAGAAGTAGCTTAGAAAGGCATCTATGAAGTGAGCTAACCTTTTAAAAGTCTCTGTATATTTTGAATTAGGATGATAAATACATCCACGGGCAATCATACAATAAACTTGAGTTATGAAATCTGACGTCTCCTCCTACCTGACCATGAGCACAGATGCACAGAAGAAGCACATGTACATGTGAATTTCGTTCTTTGCTTCTACAACTGAATTTGGCAGAATTGCTAACGGGAAAAATATCCAAAGAGGTTACCTTAGGAAGGCAAAGAAGCAAAGAGCCTGTATGATCCACAGTGAATAATTACATCTCAAAGAATCAGATGTGTGGTGTGCTGCCTAATTCTAGGAAATGGCAAATTGAGATAATAGTCATGAATTATCCCCAGAAGATATCAATCTGACAACGTCTCAGAAATCTGTTTCTGTTCCAAAAGCTGCCAATTCTTACCATAGGGGAAATAGGAGAAGCATATCAAGTTTTAAGTCTCATGATAGGTCATGGAAATCAAACCCAATGGACAAGAAGCTGCTCTCACCTGGGTTATGACACTAGTTGTTTAAAGAGAGCTTTGTAATTATTGGTACAGCTACTTGTTCCAAGATTGACTTGTGTTTACATGTGACTGATAAGGAGAAGTTTTCCTGAGCACTACAGTTAATGCATTTCCTTTCCTTCCCTGGGTACACAGATGCTATAAAGTACATTATGTTCGCTATTAGAATTAAAGAATAAGAGGGCACTGAGTATAGTTCTAGAAACTTTAAATGACCCAAGAAAATGTTTCAGATTCTGAGACAGAAAGATTCAGAATTAAGGTCTGAATTAATAGCTTGCCCTAAAAAAATTACTCCTTGTAAAAATGGTCAGGACATCCATAGAACAGAGGTTAAGACAGCAGTCCAGCCTGTGAGAGCTCTGATGTATAATGACTAAAAGGAGTTTTGAGGTTGAGAATCAACCTTGTCTATACACTACAATCTGCTAGGGAATCTTTAAAAGTACTCATGCTTAGGCTCTACCCCAGACCAATTATACTATTAATATAATTCTTGAAGTGGTTTTAAAAGCGGTCTAATGTGTAGCCAAAGTTGACTGCTACCAGATGGAGGTCTGTAATATATGAACGAGCAGAATGCAATGATTTTTAACTCTATTTGAGATTCTCATGAAGGCCATAGATTATTCATCTCACCATACCAATCAACATAGATAGATATATGATAGATAGATAGATAGCTAAATAGAATAAACTAGGATTCATGAATACTATGAAAGAGCACTCATAGACTCATGGGGGCAATACACTTCAGTATAATAGCCACTGGTTAGGAGTCTAGCAAAGCTAGAGACTTAGATGGCATAGTGAATTCATCAGCAAATGTCTTTTTTGTTTGTCTTCTTTGTTAAAGGCCTTGACATAGAAACCCTTGGAGTAGGAAGATCAAAATATAGTTAGCAGGTCCTTTAAATGTTCACAATCTACTACAGGCAATTGGACTTGTACACAAATACTTCATTACAAAAAAAGAGAAAAATGTCCAGATGGTTCACACAGATGAGATCTCTTGTAGTAGCTCAGAAGAGCAAGAAATTCTTTCCAATTGGGGAAATAAAAGAGAATTCCACCAAGAAGATGGGATCATCATTTCAAAAGGGCGATGTCAAATGCACTGGAGTTCTTGTAGACTCTTATCACTGTGAAGACTCTCCTCCAGGCACTTTTGCCGGCCCAAGTAAGGAAAAAGGCCAGGCATGGTGAACAGTACGTGCCTTCTAAAAAATCTAGTTTTTATTTTCACACCACTGTCATATTATCTCATGCCCAGATAAAAACGCACAATTATATCTTTCAGCATTAGTATAAATAAGATGATAACCAGTACTGATGGAAAGTTTTTGTTGACCCTGAATCTGCACCTCTTCAAGCAGAGCATGAATTTGAGAACTCATCATAGTATGCCACATCCAATATCAGATAGATTCATTACCCCCTGTCTGCTACAGTCTAATACTGCAGGTATGAAGGCTTCATGATACTTCTAAATGTTAATGTTTTTCACTAGTGTTCCTTTAAAAAAATGAAATAGTACCACCATTTTGTACACTTAAATGCATTTGCTTTTCATTCAAGGGAAATGAGTTTTCTTTTCTTTTCTTTTTTTCTTTGAGACAGAGTCTCACTCTGTTGCTCAGGCTGGAGCCTGATGGCACCATCTTGGCTCACTGCAACCTCTGCCTCCTGGATTCAAGCGATCCTCCTGCCTCAGCATCCTGAGTAGCTGGGATTTCAGGCACATGCCACCACACTCGGCTAATTTTTGTATTTTTAGTAGAGTTGGGGTTTTACCATGTTGGTCAGGCTGGTCTCGAACTCCTGACCTCGTGATCCACCCGCCTCGGCCTCCCAAAGTGCTGGGATTACAGACATGAGCCATAGCGCCCAGCCAAGTTTTTTGTTTTAATTTCTTCTTAGTTCATTTAATGAAAGTCTAGCTCATTTGTCTCTGAACACTTTTTTAAGAGCTGAAGTTTTGCTAAGTCACTCAATCTGAGTTGGAAATTTGGACAACTTTTTTTAAGCTATGAATAAATTTGCAACTTCTGATAATTCTTGAAATGTGCATTTTCTCCTTCACCCTTAAGTTAATATAACACTTTGTATTTTTTAAAGTACTTTTTTTGTATATTATTTAACATGCTTTTTGTAATAATTCTGCCAGGCAGGTAAATCAGGTCACATTATCTGCATTTTACAAACAGAAAACTGAGTTTCAGAGGGATTAACTGGCCTACCCAAAGTCACACAACCAGTTAGTCACAGAGTTAGAATTACTAGATCTTCTGTTCATTAATTCAGTAGTTTTTTTTAAATGTACTATCTTTCCTTTCCTTACATCAATTTTGTTAGGGGAAATATGCAATAGCATTTCTTCTCAACTCTGCCAGAAGAGCCTATAATTTGGTTAGCGTATGTTTTAGGAGATCAAAGCTAAATTCTAATGATGTTAATGCCTAGTATGCCACAGGCATTGGGGGATGGTTACCAACATTATTTTAAATCTTTATAGTAACACTGTATTTTACAGAAGAGAAGGTTTACAGATGTTAATTTATTTGCCAAAGCCACATATCTGATAACCTTCTGCTTTCCTTGGTTCTCCCTCAGGCTACATGGCTGTATTGGTAAATGCACCTAGTCTGGCATATTCTCTGGAACACACATGACCAAAGATCCTATCAAATTACCTCTAAATATTTTCCAACAACATTATCATTGCTCTCATTGTCAAGATAAACATTTATCTAATGTTTATACCTAGCAAACACCATGGTAGACACTCAAAACACAAGAAGTATATGTATATGTTTGCCCTCCAGAAGTTTGTCACCCAATAAAGGGATATGTTGCATATATAACAGCATAGGAATCAAGTGATAAAACAACAGAGTTTGCTGTCCTCATGCATGAAATGAATGTTTTAGACTCTAGGCTGTAAATACCATCAGATTCAGAATAGGAAGAGAATCAATGTGGGCCAAGATAATAGAATCTCTCAGAAATAAGACTTAACAAAAAGCAATTCAGATAAGTGGAGAGGAAAGAGAATTCTGCATAGGAGCAATTATAAAAAGAGTTATGAAGTCAGAAATGTTCGTGAAATATGTGTCAGTCTGTTCTTGCATTGCTATAAAAAATACCTGAGATGGAGTAATTTATAAAGAAAAGAGTTTTAATTGGCTCCTAGTTCTTCAGGCTGTACAAGCATGGCTGCAGCATCTGCTCCTACTGAGGGCCTCAGGAAGCTTCCAAGCATGGTGGAAAGCAAAGTGGGAGCAAGCATGTCATATGGCAAGATAGAGAGTAACAAAGAGAGAAGGCAGAGTTCCCAGACTCTTTTAAACAACCAGATCTCTGGTGAGCTGAGTGAGAACTCACTTATCACTAAGGAAATGGTGCTAAACTATTCATGAGGGTTCTGCCCTCATGATCCAATCACCTACAACCAGGCCACACCTCCAGCCCTGGGAATCACCTTTCAACATGAGATTTGGAGGGGACAAACATCCAAATAATATCAGCATATTCGGGGGACAATCCTGTCTTCTTATTTGTGATAATTTGCTAGAAACTTGAAGTGAGGTATGTTCAGTGGATCCTAGCATAATTTTGTTTTATCAGTTAAGGTTATATTTGGCTGCAAGTAACAGAAATCCCAATTTATAGTGGCATAAGCAAAGGAGGGATTGTTTTTCTTAGATAACAAAACATATAACCATTAGAAGGTGGTTGCTGGTACTATTTCCACTGCTCAATAATGCTATCATTTTGCATATTGCTTTCATTTTTTATGCAACAGCATCGTGGTCACATGAAGGCTGCTGCTATTCAAGATATCAGTTCTTATTTGATGCAGGGAAAAGGTGGTGGGAGAGATCACATCAGCAACATCTGTCCTTTTTTTTTTCTGGGAAAGGCAAAACTTTCCCAGAAACCACATCCAGATAGGTCTCATTGATCAGAATCAGGTTATATAGGCCTCTCTAGCTACAAGAGAGGCTGTGAAAATGAAATTAGATTGTCATACTTGATTTAGATCCTGTAAGCACATTCATGTCCCAGCTAAAATTAGAATTTTGATAGTAAGGAAAAAGAGGGAATGAATATTAAGTAGGCAAATAACAGTGTCTGTGGCAATTATAGTCTCTTCAGTTGCCAATAAAAAAAATGCACTCAGATTCCCTCAGTTAATGGGGGTTTATTGCAAAAAATCATGGAGACATAGAAAGTCTGAGTAATCATCTAAGCAGAACCTCACTAGATCTGAGGAGCTGGGATGTTGCTTAGAGGTAGCATCGCATCTTGGCATGGCAGCAGCTCTAGTGACACTGGGTAACTTTATTCCTCCCAGCAGTAGGTGATTGTGGCTTCCTGTTCATGAACTTTATTCATCTATATATTTCCTATGACTTCTCTTCTCTATTACTGCAATACTTTCTGTCTTGAGCGAGCTGTCAGGTAAATACAAAGTGCTCAGTTAAATTTTAATTGCAGGTAAATGGAAAATACATTTTTCTATAGATATGACCCCTGCAAATTAGCAACATACACTAGAAAATGATTCATTATTTATGTGAAATTCTAATTTAATTGGGAGTCCTATTTTTTATTTGATAAATCTGACTATCCTAAAACTTACTGATTAGGCTAACCGTCAGTGAAGAGTGTACCTGCTGATAGACCTCTAATACCAAACCACCTGAGAGACTACTGGCCAGCCCACAGATAGCAGCCTCTGGCTTAGAAATCCAATCCTGACCCAAGGAACTGAGATCACTTTGACAGGGTCACAAGAGCAATGTATGGAAGCATATACTTAAGGAATTCCCTGTATCACTACTCCATTTAAGGGGGTAGGTGGAAATAGCATTCCCCGAGTGCTGGGACTGGTTTAACAAAAATATTTATATCTATCCTATGCTGTTGCCTTCACATAGTGGGTGCAGGCTTACCTCTATCTCTTTCATATATCTCTGTCCCAGTCAAAGATTCCATAACATCTTCTTTTCTAGGCATAAAATCAGTTTATATTCCATAGAGATTTTGATGTCCAGAAGGGGTAGGTATGCACAGAATAAAATGTTTCTTTTGCATCATGCTCATAATTCCCTATAATTTCTTCTCATTTATTGGAATTTTGTCTTTTGTTAAGTTTTATCTCCTTTTAGGAGATTCTATGAATGTTTACTATATTCTATGTCTAAAGAATAGGTGGTAGGTGCTGAATTGGACAAGTGGAAGATTAAGACATGATCACTACACTCAAACAATCCTAAAATCTAGCCTGACTGCTTTCAGTTTTACAATGTAATATTTGCATCTAATCCTGCCTTTCTCCCTGATTCCTTTTGTTGATCTAGAAGTATGGATTTCTAAACTCCTGATTCTTTGTTTTCAAGAATATCTAATGTAAGAAGGCAGCATCTTTAAGAATTCTTTTTCTTACTTGCCTTCTTGACAAAAGCATTCCTTTATTCATGTTCTTTTTTGCTGCTCACTTCCCTGTATCCTCTCTCTTTGGGCTCTAGGACTGCTGATACCAGTAATACCTCTACACCAAAAGCAAAGGTCATGCACTGCTCCTAGCTCATACAGAATTATAATTTATAGCATAAAAGAATAATGGTGAGATATACAATAGAGGTCATCTCATTTAATCTACCCACTGCAGAAGTCCTCTCTTCAGCCTCTTAGATACAAGATTGTTAAGTCTCTGTGTCAGCACCATATGATATAACCTGTTCCACTTTAAAAATATAATCGAATTACAATAAATCATTTCCAGTGGTGGGCTGACATCTGCTTCTTTCTAACAGCCATCAGAATAGCCTTCCCTGTGTAAGCCTTTCTTACCTTTAAGATGCTCACCAAGTTCCTTGATCATCTACACTTCCACCCTTTCTTTGGCTTTTCTTTGTCATAATGTCCAAAATCCTACCCATCCTGGTTATCTTTCTTCGTGATACCCTTCAGCTTATTCATTCCTATTGTACAATATGAGGTTTCAAACAAATATTCTGCCATAGCAATGTTGCTATCCATCTCTTACAATTGGTTCTAATGAGGAAATTAATTTTTTCCCTATCTGGGAGCATGATATAGAGGAGAGAAAATGGCTCTGGAAATAGTCTAATCTGCGTTTGTATTAAAACTCTATTTTTTTTAATCTTGAAACCATGCGTAAGTTTTTTTGCCACTTATAACTTCTGTTTCCTTTTCTGTTAAATGGAAGTAATAATACCTATCTCCTATGGGGATAAAGAAAAGTATGTAAAGTGCCTTGAAAAACACTAAGTCAGGGCTCTGTAAAGAATTCTTCTTTCCTTCATTTTCACTCAGAGGAACACAGAATAAAATGGCACATTCATGGAATATCAAGAAAAAATTCTTAGCTTTTCCTTTATTTCTGATCTGCATGGGAACATTCATGATCAATGCCTCTCTACTTATCCATCTGATTTTCAGACCCTTAAAAGGCAGGTTTGGGGGTCTAATGGTCACCTCTAATTTGTCATTCCAACTTCCTATTTATGGCCACTAATGCAAAGTGTCCTATTTGGCTTTGAATGCAGATATTCTCCAGTCCTTCAGAAAATAATGCAGTTTCTCTCCTTCATAGCTCAGTTCTCAACTTCTTCAAAAAGAATTAGTCTCAATGAGCATTAACTACAAGGAAGAAGGATAATCATCATTTTCCCTGTCACTTAAATAAATAGTGTATGATACTACCACACAAATTGATCATTACAGGTAGTAGAAGCAGCATACCAGTAACTAGATAATAATGAGAAGACAGTATTAGCTTTTCAAATGACTGTGAGAGCTCACCCAGGTTTTTTTTTAAAGGAGATGAGATGTAAATATTCTGGCTGTTGTTTTACACATTTATGTTGAACCCAATTCATTTTTAAGCTAAATCGATTTCTTATTGCATTTTTTCAGTGGATCAGTCTCATTTTTTTCCCAGAGATAACATAGCTTTAAACAGTTGTACATTATGCAAAAGAAAACTATTATTCTGTGCATGCCCTACACATTGCGGAGTATGGTAAAAATCATCCCAGAGACTGTGTTAAATAAACAGTATCTGAAACATTTCTAAAGTCCCTAGTGATGAAATTTGCAAGCTCTATTTTGTTATCAGTGAAATTTATTTATTTGCTGTCCACCATCTCTCCCTCTGGGAAACAATGTAGAGCTCCCGTTTCAATTCAGAACAGATTCTGCTTTCACTATGCCAAAGTGGAAAGAGTTTGAGGGCTGTGGTGGCCACATGGTGGCTCTGGGATCTGTGCCAAAACTATGCCTGTCATGAGGCTCTGACAAAAACCATGTCCATTTGGGATTCAGGAAACAGGAGCAAGAAGACGCATTTGCTCTCAGGCTGTTCCTAAGTGACATCAGAACAGCTAGTCAGTCCAATAAAAAATGTAGCCCTGCTGCTTTCTTGGCAACAAGTCATCTGAGCCCCTGTCACATTAGAACTGGGCTTGGAAGATACTCAAAACTTGCATATGAACTATTGGGCACAGGAGGCTATTTTCTGGCTAAATATATTGTCTTAGTGACTTGAATGCCTCAGTTACGATAGATTTAAAATTTTGTCCAGACTGCAAAACACTGCAGGCATATTTTCTCTTGCTTCTTCTATCTTCTAGTTTTAAAGCAGTATGGATTACAGACAGAATTATGTCTGAATCTTGACTCTACTTTTGCCGCTGTCTAGCTAAGAGGCTGCAAGCAACTTTCTTAATCTGAGCATCAATTTCCCAGTATGTAGCATAGGCATAATTATGCCTTTGTCATAGGTTTTTGTATATATTGGTGTGTGTCTGTAAGACGTGTGTGTGTGTGTGTGTGTATATGTCTTATAAAAACCTATGAGAAAGGTATATACACACCACACACTATCTGTACCATCTACATCTGTCTATATATGCACACACACACATATAAAAAAAGGTCTAACAATTTGTTTAGCCCATTTTAGATACTCAGCAAATTTTAATTCTCTTCCCAGTCCTTCTCTCATATATCTATAAATTAATCCACGAGTGAAGTATAGTGGGATTATGTCATACATACAGTTGATTTTCCAAAACTTAACTATATGTGCTCAGAAAAAAAAATTGAGAGACTGAGAAAGAACAACACACACATACATACATACACACAAGAGAGGAGAGAGAGAGAGACAGAATTATTTGTCAGTTTTCATTTCCCTTCTCATAGCGCAGGACACCACTATGCCTCACGGAAAGCACTTGATTTCACTAGCAGCAAGGGAATGGCCATGTTCTGACAATAAGATGTCTATAAAAGTCTCTAGGGAGAGCAGCCTTCATAGTCTCCCTGGGAGACTTTTCTTTAAGCTTACTTGCCCTTCCCCATTTTCCATCTAAGACGTGAACATGAGGCCTAAGTAGTCATCTTGAGACCAACAGGCCTCTAAGAATGTGGACAAAGGCCAGCGTGCTAATGACAAGGGTGGTCAGATAAAGAGATAGAGATGGGTCTTTGGTGGCATGGTTGAGCCCCAAAGCAAGCAGTAGAGTGCCTGTATATGCTCTTCTTATTACATAGATAAAATCAATCCCTATTTGCTTAACCCTTTGGAATCTTTTTGTTTTCTGTTGCCTTTGTGGTTAGTTGCAGGCAAACACAATTCTAACAGATATAGCAAATGATTCCATCCGTCAGTCCTTCCAGTGATCATAGGCTCTGGAGTGAGCTGGGAGATATGGCTCTGTGTTTCATAGCACATGCATCTCACTGTGCTGCTGTGAATCTAGTTTCTAAGTTTTTGTTTTTCATACAGCTGGCCCAATACAAGGCCAGTGACTTCTTGGGTTGCTCATTTAAAGGCCAAGATCTGTTCTGATACCGGAGGAAACTCTTCCTTTGTTGAACTTAATGAAAGATTTGGAACCATCACCCTTAGAAGTGTGTAATTCCAAAATACTAAATTAAACTACATTTTCATTATAAGAGAAAATTAAAAAGAAGTTTTTTTATGGAGTCTTGCTCTGTTGTTCAGGCTGGAGTACAGTAGTGCAATCTTGGCTCACTGCAACCTCCACCTCCAAGGTTCACACAATTCTCCTGCCTCAGCCTCCTGAGCAGCAGCGATTATAAGCATGCACCACTATGCCCGGCTAATTTTTGTAATTTTTATTATAGACGGTGTTTCATCATGTTGGCCAGGCTGGTCTCGAACTGCTGACCTCAAATGATCTGCCCACCTTGGCCTCCCAAAGTGCTGGGATTACAGGTGTGAGCCACCGTACCTGTACTAGCCATGTTGTATATATCAACACAAGAAGTAAATAGTTTGGGGATGAAGCAATAATATGAAGATGTATGCTGAAATAAACAAAAATGTTACCAAAAATACCCACTGATGATGAAGAAGGCATTAGTATATAATTCTTAGCTGTGTTATTTTCTACCTTCTCTGTTAAAAGAAGCCCTGATTAGGTTCCATGTATGTATATATTCTTCATGTTCAGAATGTTGGAAATCAATCACTTCTCTAAACCTGAAATTTGTCGAAATTCTTTTAAAAAATCTTTTATTGAGGTTAATCCTCCTGTATAATTACTACCTCTAGATCAATGTTTTACAGACAGCATGTTGTTAACCATTATTGATCATGAAACCAATTCAGGTTGTTATGATTCTCATTTAAGAATTAAACGAAATACACCATCACGTGTAATAAGGGTATTATCTTGTGATGTTTGTTTTGATTTTATACATGCATGTCGTGTTCACTGGGTCAGAATATAAAGTGCATTCTCTCAGGATAAAGTTTGAAAGCCGCTATGCCAGGGGGATCAGCATGCACCCAGTTGGAAAGCGACCTCTAGATGTGGTGCTGAGGCTGAGCAAGAGCATCATTCGGAGCTGTCCAACTGCTGACATAAAGACGATGTTGCAGAGAAGCAATATCCCAGAAGTACACTGCATCTAGTAGCTGACCCTACAGAGAGCAGTTGTGATTGCCACTCTGGAAGTTACTACCGATTGGAACGCTGTAGCTAAAATAGCAGACTAAAATCCTTATCTTTGGCCTCATCCCTATTAGTCATCTCAGAATAAGTTATCAGTGAGAGAGACAGGGATCAGACCCTCAATCTGTTTATTATCTGAGAAACTTGTTATTCTTATCCAGTTACACATCACAAAGAATCACTAATTGTACAGGGAATTTGATTCATTTGGAGCCTCAATACTCAACACTTTCAATGTTTCATCATAGTATATTTATCAAAAAATCTAAGCTAAAATTATAAAGTAATTTAAAGGTGGAATAAAATGATTGAGACAAAACAGACTCACAACTCTATCTGACAACAAAATGGATTCCTAACGTCACTTCTTGGTATCTAGGTTTCACGGCTTACTCCAAAACTACTATAATCTTTTAAAAATAAGCTACAAAATTAAATTCTCTATAATGCTAACTTAGAATTAAGTGGATAGGAAAGGTAAACTAGTTAAAATGATCCTAAGCAATGCCTCAGTACTCAATTTTCCATCCAAAAAATAATCTGGGACTGTGCTGCCACATATGAACCACCTAATAAGGGCTGAATGACTATAGTGCATTATCATATGTAGGATAAAACTCTTTTCAACTCCAAATTTATAAATTCTAACTGAGAATTGCGGGCAATATGATCATTTCATGATATTGTTTAACTTTTAAAAAATCATGGAAGTATAGTTTTAGACTAGACCATGGTGCTTAATTACTAAGACTTGATATCTGGATTCCATTTTGTTAGTTAATAAGGCTGTGATTCTTGCTCAAATTTACCCCCGATATTTTATTTTACCTTTTCAAATGGTTTTATAAATTTAGTCTGAATATGTTAAATTGTTTTTGATAAGTATGCTGTGGTGTATTATAAAATGTATTTGGATTAGAACGAGAAGCTTCTTTTTTTCCCTCCTTTGAATACTGCCTTTTTATTTTTTAGTGACTTTGGGAAAGTCACTAAAAAACCACTTATCTGTAGTTTAGCTTCCTCATCTGAAAAGTAATGGTTGTAAGATTTTATTTCTGAGGCTTTTACTTCAGGCTCAAAAATATTCATTAATTTGAGAGACAAATCATATTTTCACAGTTAATGATAAATCAAAACAAAGCAGAGATTTTATAGCTAACCATAGATCATTTTTTAAAAAAATTTTGGGTGAACTATTAATATTTTAAACATACAATTTGATGAGTTTTGATAAAGATGTACAATAGCGTAATCAGCACCTCAATCTAGATAAAGAATATCTTCCCAATTTACAGAATTTTTCCTCCTGGTCATTTTAGTCAGCTCCCACAGCCCACACAACATCACACCATAGTTCTGATTGCTACTACCATTAATTAGCTTTGCATATTCATGGACTTAATATAAATAGAATCATTGAGAATGCAATATTTTGTATAAAAATTTTTTCACACAAAATAACATTTTGAAATTGGCCTATGTTATTATGTATATTACGAATTTGGCCAGGCGCGGTAGCTCACGCCTATAATCCCAGCACTTTGGGATGCCGAGGCAGGTGGATCACCTGAGGTCAGGAGTTCAAGACCAGCCTGGCCAACATGGTGAAACTCCATCTCTACAAAAATTAGCCGGGCATGATGGCACGTGCCTGTAATCCCAGCTACTCGAGAGGCTGAGGCGGGAGAATTGCTTGAACACGGGAGGCAGAGGTTGCAGTAAGCCAAGATCGCACCATTGCACTCCAGCCTAGCTATAGAACAAGACTCCATCTCAAAGAATATCTATCTATCTATCTATCTATATATATAGTAATTCATATGCTTGTTGTTTTAATTTTAGCCATTATAATGTGTTTTGTGATAGCTCATTGTGGTTTTAATTGGAATTTCCCTGATGACTAATGACACGGAACACCTTTTAATTGCTTATTTTCCACTAATATATCTTCTTTACTGATGTATTTGTCCAGATCTTTTACCCATTTTTATTCAATTGTTTACATTTTATTATTAATATAAAGAAGTTCTTTATACATTCAAGTTACAAATTAATATGCATATACTTTTCTTTGAATATAATCCTTGCTTTATATTTTTAAATGGTGTTCCTTAAGAGCAGAAGGTTTAAAATTTGATGATGTACAATTAATCAGTTTTTCCTTTTAAGATTATTGCTTTTTGTGTTTTCTCTAAGAAATCTTTGCCCCTAAGCTTTCTTTCAGAACCATGTAGTTTTATGGCTAGCCATATGCAGAAGATTAAAACTGGACCCCTTTTTTTGTACCATATAAAAAACTAATTCAAGATGGATTAAAGACAAAAGTAAAACCCAAAACCGTAAAAGCCCTGGAAGACAAGCCTAAGTAATACCATTCAGGACATAGGCATGGGCAAAGATTTCATGATGAAGATGCTGAAAGCAATTGCAATAAAAGCGGAAGAAACTATCAACAAAGTGAACAGACAACCTACAGAATGGGAGAAAATTTTCACAAACTGTGCATCTGACCAAGGTCTAATATCCAGCATTTATAAGGAACTTGAACAAATTTACAAGAAAAAAATCCCATAAAAAGTAGGCAAAGTCATGAATAGACACTTTTCATAAGAAGACATACATGTGGCCAACAATTATATGACGAAAAGCTCAACTTCACTGATTAACAGAGAAATGCAAATGAAAACCACAATGAGATACCATCTTACATCAGTCAGAAGGGCTATTATTAAAAAGTGGGAAAAAAAGCAGATGCTGGTGAGGTTGTGGTGAAGAGAGCACTTATACACTGTTGGTGGGAGTTTAAGTTAGTTCGATAATTGTGGAAAGCAGTATGGCAATTCCTCAAAGAGCTGAAAGCAAAGCTGCCATTCAACCCAGCAATCCCATTACTGGGCATATACTCAGAGGAATATAAATCATTATGCCATAAAGACACATGCATGCAAATGTTCATTGCAGCTCTATTCACAATAGTAAAGACACGGAATCAACCTAAATGCCCATCAATGACAGATTGGATAAAGAAAATGTACATACACACAATGGAATACTATGCAGCCATAAAAAGAATGAGATTATGTATTTTGTGGGAACATGGATGGAGCTGGAGGCTATTATCCTTAGCAAACTAATGCAGGAACAGAAAACCAAATACTACATGTTCTCACTTATAAATGGGAGCTAAATAATAACTTAAGAACACAAAGAAGGAAACAACAGACCCTGGGATCTACTTGAGGGGGGAGGGTGGGAGGAGGGAGAGGAGCAGGAAAGATAACTATTGGGTACCAGGCCTAATACCTGGGTGATGAAATAATATGTACAACAAACCCCCACGACATGTGTTTACCTATGTAACAAATGGTCACATGTGCCCCAAACCTAAAACAAAAACCCCCAAAAACAAATATGTTCAGGTAAAATCAAAATTCACATTCACAAAATTGATGTGAATCTAATAAAAGAATTTTCTTTTTTGCATAAGTATGGACTATCTTCTGGATTTTTTTTTTTTTTACAAGAGCCAGGAAGACAGAGAAAAACTAGTAGAAGGTGAAAGAAAATTCATTGGATATAGAGTTTAAAAATAATAGAACTGAAAAAGTTTGTGGTGATTCAGTTAAAGGATTTGTTATTATTTATCAAAATGGAATTGACCTTTTGCTTAGGTGCTCTTGAAAAAGAAGGCATAGTAGCTCTGCACAGAGCTTAAAGGAGAAATATAGAGAGGCTGTCTTTTGTCTTGTGATGAGGTGACTCTAATTCTTTTGATGACCTAACTCCTGACTATGTAGGATATGCAGGACTTCTCTGTGAGTATACATTTGGAGAGGAAAAATTCACCTTTATTGAGAAATATAACTATCCTAGCTCTGTCACATTATTGGCCAAAGAACCAAATAAGTATACACACACTCAAATCAAAGATGCTGTAAGAGATGGCTTGAGGGCTGTCAAAAAAAGCTATTGATGATGGCTGTGAGTTCCAGGTGCTAGTGCAGTAGCAGTGGCAATGGCAGAAGTCCAATTAAATATAAGTCCAGGGCTCAACTCAGAGTCCAAGCATTTGCTGATGTGTTGCTCTTTCTTCCCAAGGTTCTTGCTCAGAACTGTAGTTTTGATTTTCAAGAAATGTTAGTTTTAAAAATGGCAATTTTTCCCATATGAAAAAGGAAAGAACACTGGCACCTATTCTGAAGCTTTGAAATGATAATCACAGTATTTTTTAATTGCACTGAATTGAACACATATAAAGCAGGTCTTTTTTACCCAGTGAACAAGATGTTTTCTTTTGCTGCAGTGACATAAAATTATATATTAGATAAGCATATGTTGTAAACCTTGTTATTAAATATTCATTGACAAACAAAAAACAAAAGTAGACTGAGTTTTACTAGACATCAATTTGCTCTTATTCCAGCTCAATTCTTTATTAGATTGAGGGTATCAGACTGCCAGAGGAAAGATCAAATCATCCACATTAGAAGATAACATCATACACGGATTCTATGGTTCTTTTATTCATAATGTTTGATATAAAGCAAAAAAAGTTAGTAAACATTCAAGAGTCAGAAAAATGTGATTGATAAGATATAGATATGCACCAAGGGACATCAGCAAGATGGCAGAATAGGACTTTCCTGCACTCCTCCTGCCATAGAAACATCAATTCAAACAACTATCCATCCCCAAAAAACCTTCAAAAAGCTAAGGAAACAAGGTGAGAGATTATAGCACCCAGGTGTAGCAGAGACATTTTTTAAAAGACACATTGAAGAGGGTAGGAAGGACAGTTTTACCTTGCCCACATTGCTTCTCCTCCAACTCCGGGCAGCACAACATGGAGAGAGATACTCTTTGCACGGGGAAAGGAGAGGAAAGTGAGCACCGGAATTTGCTTCAGACCCCCAAAACCCGAGTAAAAATCAACACTGAGCAGGCCCCTGTGGCTCCAAACTCTAGGCCAATATCTGCAGACTGAACTTCCTGGTCTATCCCAGCAGTAGGCTAAATCCTGCAGCCCTAGGCTCCAAGACTGCATAGCAGACTTAGTCTCTGCCCCACTGCCAGGCTGACTCCAGTGGCACAAGGCTCTAACTATCCACAGCACTAGGCTGGCCCCCACAGCCTCAGGCTTTAGGTCCACTCTAGCACCAGACATCAGGCCAGCACCAGTGAACCCAATGTCCAGGACAGCCCCTGGAAATGTAGGCTGTAGGCCCACGCAGCACCAGATCAGCTGCTGTGACTCCAGACTCCAAGCTGATACTCAAGACTGAGTCTTCAAGTTCACCCTGACCCAGACAGGATCCTGCAGGCCCAGGCTCCAGGCCTCCCTGATGGATTGGGTCACTGCACCTACCCTACCACCAGGCTGACCCTAGTGGCCCCAGGATCTGACCAGCCCCAGTGTCAGGCAGGCCCAAGTGGCTTCTGCCCCTATACCAGCACAGCTCTTGCAGAATCTGGCTCCAGGCCTACCCCAAAGCCAGGCCGGATCACTGGCCTCAGGCTCTGAGCTGCCCCCAGAAACAGACTGGCTCCCAAGGACCAAGACTTCAGGCCTAACTCAGTACCTATGGACTTTGCCTCCAGATCGCCCCTGTAGATACAGAATTTAGGTTCACCCATTGCCACGTCAACCCCTGTGGACCAGGCTCCAGGTCTTCCCAGTGCCAGGCTTGTCTCTATGTCTTTACCCTCCAAACCAGTCCTTACACCCTAGTGTTCCAGCAGACTCATAGTTCAAGTAAGTCCCAGTAGACCCAAGCACTGGAGAAGCCAGTCCCCAGGCTTTCCCTCCAGGTCCCAGGACTTTCCCTTTGTGCCCAGGTTCCAGGTCAGCCCCTGAGGCCCTAAGAACCAGGCCACCCTCAGGGACTTAACCTCTTGGTGAGTACCTACACACCCAGCCTCTAGGCTGGCCCCAGTGGATGCAGGCTTCAGAACAATGCCTGTTGTCTTAGGGTCCAGGACAGCCCATCCAAGAACCAGGCCAATGTCTTCAATAATGGCTCCAGATGATCTCCCACAGATTTAGGCTTTATGTTGGCCCAGGGCTCCAGGCCAGGCCCCATAGCTTCAGGCTCCAGAGGACCAAGAGTCAAGGCTCACCCCAGTAGACCTGAATTCCAGGCCAGACCATGGACTGAGGTTCATAAGAACACCTCTGAAGACTAAGGCTACAAGGAAGCTGCCATGGACTAAGGCTCTGGGTCCATCCCAGTGGAGCCAGGTGCCAAGCCCGCCACACACCTAGCCATCTCTTACAAACTCAGGCTCAAGGCCTATTCCAGCACTAGGTGCAGTGCTGTGGACCCAGGCTTCAGCCTGGCCTTTATGTATACAGGCTCCAAGACCTCCCTTATGGATCCAGACTTCAGGCCCATCCCTGCATATCCAACCAACAGGTCTACCTGTGGATCCAGCATATAGTACTAACCCTGCAGACCCAAGCATCAGGCTCATCCACCTGCCAACACAGGCACCGGTACAGCCTGCCCAAAGATTCAAATAGCAAGCCCACACTTAGAACATGTCAGATAACCTGCCTGGAATCTCTAGACAGATTGACTTGGAAAGGGGTTTCTTAGATAAAGCCAGCCTGCGAAGTCTAGAATAAGTCTTGACTTCTTCAAATGCACAGACATCAACATAAGGCAATAAGAAACAAGAAAAACCAAAGAGATATAACGACACCCAAAGGGTATAATAATCTCCCAGTAGCCAAACTGAAAAAAAAATTGAGATATGCAAACTACTGGACAAAGAATTCAAAATAATTGATTTAAGGAAGCTCAGTGAACTTCAGGAAAATACAAAAAAGCAATTGAGGAAATCAGACAAACAATAAATTACCAAAATAAGAAATTTAGCAGAGAGATTGAAATAAAAACAACCAAAAACAAATTCTGGAGCTGGAAAATGCCATAAATGAAAAACTGCAATAGAGAGCATCAACAGTAGAATTGATCAAGCAGAAAAAAGAATCTGTGAACTTGGAGGCAGATTATTTGAAAATATACTGTCAGAGGAGAAAAAATAAAAACTAAAGAAAACTCATGAGATTTATGGAACAGCATCAAAAGAGCAAATGTATGAGTAATAGAAGTTAGTGAAGGAGAAGGGAAAGGCAAAGGGATAGAAAGCTTATTTACAGAAATATTAGCAGTAAACTTTCCAAATCTGGGAAAATATTTATAGAGGTACAGGGAGGTTAGAGGTCTCCAACTGAATTCCATTTAAACTATACTACACCAAGGCATGTTATAAACAAAGTGTGTTACAGAAACAATTGATATATAAGGGAGTTCTAATAAGGCTAGCAGCAGATTTCTCAGCAGAGACCTTACAGGCTGTGAGAGAGTGGGATGACATATTCAAGGGGGTGAAGTAAAACAACTGCCAAAGAATTATACTGTAGCCAGCAAAGTTGTTCTTCAGAAATAAAGGAGAGATAAAGATTCCTAAACAAAGGAAAACTGATGGAGTTCATTACCACCAGACCTGTCTTACAATAAATGCTAAAGGTAGTTCTTCAAGATGGAAAAGAAAAGGATGGTAATTAGTAACACAAAAACATACTATAATAGTAAGTACACAGTCAAATTTAGAATAATACTGTAATGGTTGTGTGCAAATCACATATCTTTAGTACAAAGGTTAAAAGACAAAATTATTAAAAATGATTACTACAATATTGTTACAAAATATATAATATGCAAAGATGTAAACTGTGGCATTAAAATTTAAAAGGCTGAAGATTTGAAGTAAAAGTGTAGTGGGGGATTTTTTTAAATCAAAATTAAGTTATCAGCTTAAAATAACCTATTATATCTAAGATGTTTTGCAAGTCACATGGTAACCACAAAACATAAACCCATAATAGACACAAAAGATGCAAACTATATCACTAGAAAAATATCATGTAATCACAAAAGAAGAGAGCAAGAGAAGAAAAGAACAAAGATTCTATAAAACAATTAGAAAATTATTAATGGCAGCAGTAAGTCAATACATATAATAATTCCCTTGAGTTTACACTCAATGGATTAAATTCTTCATTCAAGAGACATAAAATGGCTGGGTGGATAAAAAAAGATTCGACCAGAAGCTCCCTAAGAGGTTCATTTCACATGTAAGTACACATATACACTGAAAATGAAGGCATAGGAAAAGATATTTCATGCAACTCAAAACCAAAAGAGAGCAGGAGAAGTTATGTCAGATAAAACAGACTTAGTCAAGAACTGTAAAACAAGAGAAAGAAGATTATTATATAATAATGTGCCAATTTATCAAGAGGATATAAGTATTATAAATATATATGCACCCAACATCTGAACATCAAAACATATAAAAATATTAAAATATTAAAAAATATTAAAATATTAAAAAATAATACAATTAATAGACCTGAAAGGAGAGATAGATTGTAAGACCATAATAATAGAAGATTTCTTCGATGCTCAACTTTCAGCAATGGACAGATCATCCAGACAGAAAGTCAATAAGCAAACATCAAACTTAAAATACGCATTAGACCAAATGGTCCTAACAGGCATATATAGAATAGCCCATACAACAGCAGCAGAATATACATTCTTCTTAAGTCTATACAGAATATTCTCTAGGATAGATTATAAGTTAGGCCACAAGTCTTAACAAATTTAAGAAGATTGAAATCTTATCAAATATCTTTTCTGACTACAAAAGTGTGAAACTAGAAATAAATGACAGGAGAAATTTCAGGAAATTCATGAATACATGGAAATTAAACAACCTGACCCTGAACAACTAATGGGTCAATGAAGAAAGTAAAACTATCATGAGACAAAAGTAAAAACACAACATACCAAAACTTATGGGATGCAGTAAAATCAGTTTTAAGAGGGAAAATTATAGCAATAAACACCTACCTCAAAAAAGAAAAAATGCAAATAAACAACATTACATCTCAAGGAAGTAGAAATACAAGAACAAACAAAGTCCACAGAAAGAAAGACATAATAAAGATAAAACCTGAAGTAAATCAAACAGAAATGAGTAAAAGCAATAAAAAAGATCAATGAAACTAAGGATTGATTTTTTTGAAAAGCTGAACAAAATTGACAAATCTTTGGCTATACTAAGGAAAAAGAGAGAACACTCAAATGAAGAAATGAAATAGGAGACATTACAACTGTTAGCACGGAAATACAAGGGATTATAAAAGACTACTATGAACAATTTTATGCCAACAAATTAGATAACCTAGAAAAAATGAATAAATTTCCAGGTGTAATCTACCAAGACTAAATCATGAAGAAATAAAAAATCTCCACAGATCAATAACAAGTAAGGAGATTGAATCTGTAATTAAAAGTCTCCTATCAAAGAAGAACTCAGTACCTGATGGCTTCACTTCTGAAATCTACCAAATATTTTTTAAAAACCTAACGCCAATCCTTTTCAAACTCTTCCAAAAAATCAAAGAAGCAAGAATACTTCCAAACTCATTTTAAGAGGCTAACATTACCTAATACCAAAGACAGATAAGAACACTACAAGAAAACAAAATTACAGGCCAATATCCCTGATGACATAGATGCAGAAATCCTTGACGGAACGCTTGTAAACCAAATTCAACAGCACATTAAAAGAATCATTCACCATGATCAAGTGGGATTTATGCCAGGGATGCAAGGGTGATTCAATATGTGCAAATCTATAAATGTGATATACATTATTAACAGAATGAAGGACAAAAATTATATGATTACCTCAATTGTTGCATAAAATTTGTTTGTCAAAGTTCATCCCTTCATGATAAAAATTCTCAACAAATTAGGTACAGAATGAATGTACCTCAATACAGTAAAAGACATATATGACAATCCTACAGCTAACACCATACTAAATGGTGAATAGTTGAAAATATTTCCTCCAAAATCAGGGATAAGACAAGGATGTCCATTCTTAACACTTCTGTTTAACATAGTACTGGAAGTCTTATCCAGAGAAATTATTCAAGAGAAAGAAAAGAAGGCATCCAAATTGGAAAGGGATAACCTAAATTGTCCCTATTTGCAGATGACATGATTCTATACGTAAAAACCCAAAAGACTCCATTAAAACTTCTTAGAATAAAAGATTTCATTAAAGTTGCAGGATATAAATCAACATACAAAAATAAGTAGTATTTCTGTATGCTAGAAACAATCAAAAAAAGATATCAAGAAAAAATCTCATTTACAATAGCTACAAAAAATACTTTGAAATAAATTTAACCAAAGAGGTGAAAGATCTGTATACTGAAAACTGAAATATTGATGAAATAAATAGAAGACACTAATAAATAGATATCTCATGTTTATGGATTGAAAAAATTAATTTTGTTAAAATGTTCATACTCCCTAAAGCAATCTAAAGATTCAGTGCAATCCGTATCAAAATCCAATGATGTTTTTTGTTTTGTTTTCTTTCTTTTTTTTTTTTTTTTTGAGATGGAGTCTCTGTCACTTAGGCTAGAGTGCAGTGGTGCAATCTTTGCTCACTGCAACCTCCATCTCCTTGGTTCAAGCAATTCTCCTACCTCAGCCCCCTGAGTAGCTGGGATTACAGGTGTGTACCACCACACCCAGCTATTTTTTTGTATTTTTAGTAGAGACGGGGTTTTGCCATGTTGGCCAGGCTGGTCTCGAACTGCTGGCTTCAAGTGACCCACCCGCCTTGGCCTTCCAAAGTGCCGAGATTACAAGTGTAAGCCACCGTGCCCAGCCTCAATGACATTTTTCAATGAAAGAAAAAAAATTTCAAAATTCATATAGAACCACAAAAAAGACCCTGAAAATAGGCCAACACATCTTGATCAAAAAAGCACAAAAGTGGATATTAAACAACCTGAGTGAAAATCTACTACAAAACTGTAATAATCAAAACAGTGTGGTTGTGGCAGAAAAACAGACATCTAGATCAATGGAACAGAACAAAGCCCAGAAATAAATCCACACACTTACAGTAAATTGATTTTTACAAAGATGCCAAGAATGTGCAATGGTGAAAGAACAATCTCATCTATAAATGATGTTGGAACAACTGGATATTCATATGCATAAGAATGAAATTAGACCTGTATCTCACGTCATATAAAAACTCAAAGTAGATTAAAGACTTCAATGTCCAACCTAAAACTAAAACTGTCAGAAAAAACATGAGTGCAAAGTTCCAGGACATTGGTCTGGGCAATGAATTTTTGGATATGAAGCCCAAAACACATGCAGGAAAAACAAAAATAGACAAATTATATTATATCAAACTAAAAAGCTTCTGCACAGCAAAGAAACAATCAACTGAGCAAAGTGACAACCTACAGAATAGGAGAAAATATTTGCAAATCATACATCTGATAAAATGTTAATATTCAAAATATACAGTAGACTCAAACAACTCAATAGTAAGAAAACAACCTGATTAATAAACAAGCAAAGGACCAGAAAAGATATTTCTCTAAAGAAGACAGACAAAAGGTCAACAGGTATATGAAAAAATGTTTAACATCACTAATCATCAGGGAAATGTAAATTAAAACCATGATGACATATCACCTAACACCTGCTAGAACTGCTGTTATCAAAAAGAAAGAATAAGTGTTGGAGAGGATGTGGGAAAAAAGGAAATCCTTGCATACCATTTGCAGGAATGTAAATTAGTACAGTCATTATGGAAAATCACATGGAAATTCCTCAAAAAAAGTAACAATATAATTACCATATGATTCAGCAATCTCACCTCTGAGTGTATCTCTGAAGGTAATGAAATCAGTATGTCTGCGTTCTCACATTTGTTGCAGCATTATTTACAATAGCTAAGATATGGAATCAATGTAAGTGTCCATCAATGGAAGAGTGAATAAAGAAAGTGCGATGGGAATACTATTCCGCCTTAAAAAATGTAATACTGTCATTTGCAACAATGTGGATGGAACTGAAGACATTATGTTAAATAAAATAAGCACAGAAAGACGAATATTGCATGACCTTATTTATATGTGGAATATAAAAAAAACTCAGAAGTAAAGATTAAAATTTCAGTTAGGAAGAATAAGTTCAAGAGTTTTATTGTACAACGTGGTGACTATAGATAATGATAATATATTGTATTCTTGAAAATTGCAAAGAGAGATTTTTAAGTATTCTTATTGCAGAGAAGTATGTGAAGTAATGTATATGTTCATCAGTTCAATTCAGCCATTCCACAATGCATATATATTTTAAAACAAATTGTACATAATAAGTATATATAATTTTTGTCAAATAAGTCAAATGTTAAAATAGCCATCAAAAGAATATATGTGTGTGTATATATATAAAATATATATGTCATATTTGAAAAATACTGTCAAGAAAATAGAGAAAAAGAGAAAGGAAATAAATATGTGGATAATTAAACTGAGAATTGGATTCTTGAAAAAAGAATTTGACATTCTATAATTTAAAATTATGAAATAAAAAGTCATTGGCTAGGTTAAAATCCAGACTGGACATGACTGAAGACAAGGTTAATCAATTTAAAGACCGACTAATAGAAAAATCCAAACTGTAGCAAAGAGAGAACAAGAATGGAAGGAATAGAAGAGAACATGAGAGACATGCAGGGCATAATCAAATAGTCTAAGTTTGTGTAACTGGAGTCCCAGAAAGAGAGAGAACAGAAACGGGAAAGAAAGAAAATTGGAAAAGACAATGGACAACATTTTTCAACAAGCAGTGAAAAACATTATTGCTGATTTATCAACAGAAGTGATGGAAACCAAAGGCAATTGAAAGACATTGTCAAAGTGTTAAATAAAACAATACTGCCTATCTAGAATTCTATAAACAGCAAAAATTACTTTTAGAATAAAGGGACACTAGAAGTATTTTTAGGAAAAAAGCCAAAATATTTTATCACCGGAACACTTATTATTCAGGAAAAAACAGATTCACCTATTTATTAGAAGTATTAATTAAAATTGTATTAATGATTATTAATATTAATAATTATTAGACTAATGATTCTAGGTTGAACTTCAAAACTACTGGAAGAAATAGATTAGTAATTATGAAAAATAATTAAATATATGAGTTAATATAAACAAATCCTAACTATAAGAAAAACTAGTATCTTCTGAGTTTACAACATATGTGGAAGTAAGCAATGACAACAATAGCATAAAAACTATAAACAAGCAAATGGGGTTAATCTTTCCTTCACTGATTGAGATGTGGTAGAATTAAGAAGGCAGACTGCGGTAAGTCATTGATGCATTTTTAAAATTTCTGGGATAACCATTGAAGGAATTATACATGAATGTATAATTAAAGTTGGTAGAGGAGAGATAATAAATAAGACATATGCAGTTCATCTGAGAAAGACAAAGACAAAAAAGAACGCAGGATAAAAATTAAGAAATTTAAGAAAAAAAGATACACTTAAATTCAAATATGTCCGTATTTATATGGAATTTAATAATGTATCAATTATTTGTTTAACAGAAAAAGAAATGTTACAATTAAAGACAAAGACTGGGAATTCTGTTTACAGGTACTACATGCAGTAATAAAGATTATACTTAACTTCCAGCCATAAACAACTATGAAACAATGGTTTTCAGATATTGATTAAGCAGTGCAGGACTGTGAATGAAAGAAAGAAAATAAATGGGATGAATTTTATATTGTACTGGATTTCTGCCTTGAGGAAATTTCTGGACCATAACGTAGAGATGGGGAACATAAATGGACGCTGATTTTAATTGGTTTGTTAATATGGTTTATGTTGGTTTTTGAAAATTATACCAACCTTGCCTTTATTTGTTTTGCTAATATAATTTATATTGGTTTTTTAATGTTATACCAACCTTACGTTCCTGGAATAAACTTCACTATATACACACACACACACACACATACATACACACACACACATATGTACATATATATACACACACATATATACATATATGTTCCACATATATGGAATAAACGAAAAGCTGGTTCTATTCTCTAAGAACTAGCTTTTAGTTTTATTTGTCTTTATTTGTGTGTGTGTGTGCGTGTGTGTGTGTGTTAGTTTTGTATTTCATTGATTTCCTATCTTTATTTTTCTATATATTCTAGTTCTAATTTGCTCTTATTTTTCTAGTTTCTTAAAGTTTACAGTATACATTTTTAACTTACCAAAGTCTACCTTCAAGGGATAATATGCCATATTCATTACAGTATAAAAGCCTTACAGTAGTTACACTTCTAATTATCTCCTCCTAGCCTATGTGCTATTGATGTGACACATTTAATTTTTATACATTACAAACTGCAGACTGTGTTTATTGTTATTACTTTTCATTTAAAGAGTAAATTATCTTTTAAAGAGATATAAACAAAAAGAAAAATGTTGTATATTTTCCCTAGTTGTTATTATTTCTGGCGATCTTCATTGCTTTATACAGATTTGGTATCCTTTTTCTTCTGCCCAAAGGACTTCCTTTTACATTTCTTGTAGCACAATTCTGTTGGTGATTATTTCTACTTTCACATGTCTGAAAAGGTCCTTATTTCACCTTTATTTTTGAAATATATTTTTGCTGGTTATAAAATTCCTTTTTATCTTTCAGTTTTTTCAGTTCAATTTTTTTCTCTTAATGCTTTTAAAATGTTGCTTCACCGTCTTCTTGCTTACATTGTTTCGCATGAGAAATGTGCTGTCATCCTAATCTTTGTTCCTTGGTGCATAAAGTATTTTTCTCTAGTTGCTTTTAAGATTTTTTTCTTTATAACTAGTTTTTAGCAATTTGATTTTGATATGCTTTGGTGGAGAGGTTTTTAAAAAACATGTTTCTTGTGCTTGGAATTTTTTGAGCATTTTGAATTTGTGAGTAACCGTTCTCAAAAACTTTGGAGAAGTTTTAGCTGTTACTTCTTCACATTTTCTTTTCTATCTCCTGCCTTTCTACTCTCCTTTTGGAATTTAATTATATATTAGGCCACTTGAAATTGTTTCACAGGTCATCAAAGCGTTGTTAGATTTCCAAAAATTCTTTTTTCTCTCTAGTTTTATTTTAGATAGTTTTTGTTATCATGTATCCAAGTTTGCTAATCTTTGTTCTGCAATGTAGTTAAATCGGGTTTTATAATTTTTTCTTTCTTAACTTTTCAAACATATGTGTTACAGTTATTCTGCAGGTTTTAATGTCCTCATTTGTTAATTCTAACCTGTGTCAAGACTGTGTCAGTTTCAACTGACTAATTGTTCTCCTCGTTAAGAACCTTATTTTCCTGCTTCTTTAAGTACCTGGTAACTTTCTATTGGATGCCAAACATTGTTAATTTTACCTTATTGGATGCTGAATATTTTTCTTTTTTATTTACTTTAAATTTTACTTCAAGTTCTGGGATACATGTGCTGAATGTGCCAGTTTGTTACATACGTATACATGTGCCATGGTGGTTTGCTGCACCTATCAACCCGTCATCTAGGTTTTAAGCTCTGCATGCATTAGGTATTTGTCCTAACGCTCTCCCTCACCTTTCCCTCGATCCCCCTGACAGGCCCCGGAGTGTGATGTTCCCCTCCGTGTGTCCATGTCTTCTCATTGTTCAGTTCCCACTTGTGAGTGAGAACATGCAGTGTTTGGTTTTCTGTTCCTGTGTTAGTTTGCTGAGAATGATGGTTTCCAGCTTCATTCATGTCCCTGCAAAGGACATGAACTCATTCTTTTTTATGACTGGAATATTTTTCTATTCCTATAAATATTCCTGAGCATTGTTCTGGAATGCAGTTAAGTTACTTAAAACAATTTGAGCCTTTCAGGTTTTGCTTTTCAGATTATTAGACAGGATCAGAGCAGTGATCAAACCGGGGCTAATTGTTTTCCACTCTTGAGGCAGACCTTCTGTATTCTTTATATATACTTGGTATACTCCCTAGGAAGCATAAGGTTTTCCAGTCTGGCTGTGGTAATAAGCACTATTCCCAGCCCTGTGTGCACATTAGATCCGGTTATCTTTATTCCTTTCGGGTGGTTCTTTCCCCAGTCACCCGTTCTTCACATGCATGCACAAATAAGTGCTCTGCTGAATACTCAAAGGGGACCCTCTGCATATTGGTAGGGATCTCTTTGTGTAGCTCTCTGATCTCCTCTACATTGCTCCATGAATTTTAACCAGTTTGGTCTACTTGGACTCTCAGCTTTATCTTCTCAACTCAGGGACTCTTCCAGGTTCCTCCTCATTCCCCATTCCTTTATTGTGCCACCTGAAAATTATCTCAAGGCATTAACATAATGCAATTGTAGTCTCATCTCATTTGTTTCCCATCTCTCAAGGATACTGTTCATTGTGTGATGTCTGGTATCTTGAAACTGTTGTTTCATTTTTATTGTTTATATTTTTGGTTTATGTGGCAGGGTATCTCTGTTACTCCTATCATGGCTAGGAATGAAAGTCTTCCCTTCATTAGATTTTCTATTCCCACAGTGCCTACTGCAGTGCTAATTAAATGTCTGTTAAATGAAAAAGTTTATGATGATGGTATTGTCTTTGTGTTTCTAATATTAACATCATGAGATATTTTATTAATTAGAGACAATTGGAACCAAAAACAGTATACATCTGCAGAATAAAACCTAAGAGCTAAGATATGCTTCTACCAGGGCATATTGGTACAATATTCACACCTCATTAGGCAGAATTTCATAGAAACTTGCATAGAGTATTTCTGCATGCAAAATGAAGAGGAAGACTTTTCTCCTCTGAGGAAAATTTTTACGGGAAAATGAGCTGCATTAGTCTTGCTTTTCCTCCCTGTTTCATGTTAATAGCAGTTATACATCTGGAACAAAAAGGAAGCAGAGCTTAATGAATTTTCCCAGGATCTAGCACATGAAAAATACCCAAGATAGCGAAATGGGAATAGACTTTGCTCAATTACTGCACTACATTCTTCACATATATGAAAGTTAGACTATAACAGGTACCACCATTTTTCTTATTCTCTTTCTTTTCTCAGTCCCAGCAACCTTTTCTAACTTTGTAAGGGGAGTTACTTCCAATCTGTTAATATATAAAAGGTATGTGAGATTCTATGCAAGCTATATAGCCTGCATTAAAATTGTGGTCTAATCTTCTAATACATCTTTCTAGTCATAAGGGTATCAGATCAGTAGATATGCTAATTGTGACTAAACTCAACCTTACACAGAGAAGCCTCAGCAGGCTCTGTTATGAGCAGGAAGCAGATCTGCAGCCATGTCCTTCATTGTGGTAATAATAGGTACAATGTTTACTTAACTAGACACTGTGGGGATTTTGGCCTCATATTGCTAAAGAAATAACTAATGCTAATATTTGCAAAAAAAGATTCCAAGTTTTACTTTTCTTATTTACTGTGCTATATCTGGCCTCACACTTGGTAGGAGGAAGATATTTTATTGAAACCCTTTGGCTATGAGCAAAGAATAGACAATACTGTTTTAGAATGTGTTGGGAGAGTGGCCTGTTACCTGCTCACAGCAGGGAGGAACAGCTGTTACCTATATTTTTAAGTAAAAATTCTGTGAGCTACTTAGCTTCAAAAGGTCTTGAGGTTCAACGTCTCTGGAAGTCTTATGGTACCACAGCATGACTGTCTCAGGGAGTGCAGATAGTCCAGCCATAACTCTCTCAAAATGTCAGTTACCTTTTTGGGTTTGCTATAATAGGCTCAGCTGGAAGCAGCTTGCTGGTTTGACTGAAACATCAGACTTTAAGAAATTCTTTTGTTATGCCTTCCATAGGTCATCATTGACAATCAGGAGGTGGTGTTCAGAGAAACTAGTTAGCTGGCAAAATAAATTAATGATGCTTTCCTTGGGTCCATTAAACAAGACCCCCACCCTTTGACCTGAGAATCTTCTGAAGGTTAATCATAGAAATGCTCAAGGAGAATGGTCTCCGGAGTGTGGGGGGTGATAATGAGAGTTATTGAATAAAGACAAATTGTTGACTCAGTGCCTCCTGACTTAGTCCTCTCTTGCGGTTAAAGTTGCTACTGCAATGCCTTCTTCTATTCATTAACTCTATAAATATCTGTTGAGCGCATCCTATGTAACATTTTACCTGGTGCTGGTGATCATGGTGACAACACAGATCTGGCCCCTGCCCTCATGGAGCTTACTATCAAACAGAAGTAATAGATAGGTTAAAAGTAATGAATTTCAGTTGTGACAAGTGTTGTGGAAGAGAAGTATAAGGTGTTATGACCTCCTAGAACAAAGGAAAATAACACAGTCCGACGGAGTCTGGGGTGGGAATGGTCACAGTCTCCCTGAAAAAGTACCACTTTGGCTGAATTTTGTGTAATGCGTAGAAGTCAGCCAGATGACAGTGATGTCTTTCTTCCTTTCCCACCTGGGTGGCATGAGTAGAAGATGTCTGAAGAAACAGTGTCATTCACACCAGAGAAGGAGTTGCATGTACAGGAGAAGGACAGGGTCTGAGTGTTGGACATCAGTTGGTCAGTCTCATTAGTTGGGTGGAAGCCAAAGACTGAGCTCCACATTAAGTGAAAGAAGGTGGGAACAAAGGGACATATGAGTTAACTGAATGCCCACTCTGTGCCCCGTACAAAGATGAAACTTATACAAGTTTTCTTATTTGTAAGAAGAACTACATTATGATGTAGCTAAAATTATCCCCATTTGATCAATGAGGAAAATAAAGGACAGAGCGTTAAGGCCCTCATTCCATGTTCACAGACAATGAGTGGGATTGATGGGATTCGAACCCAGATGTCCAGTTACTCTATGCTGCCTCTCACATCCACAAAGAAAATAGAGTATCATGGTATCTCATTGTGGTTTTGATTTGCATTTCTCTGATAGCCAGTGATGATGAGTATTTTTTCATGTGTCTTTTGGTTGCATAAATGTCTTCTTAGAAGTGTGTGTTCATATCCTTCACCCACTTGTTGATGGGGTTGTTTGTTTTTTCTTGTAAATTTGAGTTCTTTGTAGATTCTCGATATTAGCCCTTTGTCACGTGAGTAGGTTGAGAAAATTTTCTCCCATTTTGTAGGTTGCCTGTTCACTCTGATGGTAGTTTCTTTTGCTGTGCAGAAGCTCTTTAGTTTAATTAGATCCCATTTGTCAATTTTGGCTTTTGTTGCCATTGCTTTTGGTGTTTTAGACATGAAGTCCTTGCCCATGCCTGTGTCCTGAATGGTATTGCCTAGGTTTTCTTCTAGGGTTTTTATGGTTTTAGGTCTAACATGTAAGTCTTTAATCCATCTTGAATTAATTTTTGCATAAGGTGTAAGGAAGGGATCCAGTTTCAGCTTTCTACATATGTCTAGCCAGTTTTCCCAGCACCATTTATTAAATAGGGAATCCTTTCCCCATTTCTTGTTTTTGTCAGGTTTGTCAAAGATCAGATAGTTGTAGATGTGTGGCATTATTTCTGAGGGCTCTGTTCTGTTCCATTGGTCTATATCTCTGTTTTGGTACCAGTATCATGCTGTTTTGGTTATTGTAGCCTTTGTTAGAATGGCGATCATTAAAAAGTCAGGAAACAAGAGGTGCTGGAGAGGATGTGGAGAAATAGGAACACTTTTACACTGTTGGTGGGACTGTAAACTAGTTCAACCATTGTGGAAGTCAATGTGATGATTCCTCAGGGATCTAGAACTAGAAATACCATTTGACCCAGCCATCCCATTACTAGGTATATACTCAAAGGATTATAAATCATGCTGCTATAAAGACACATGCACACATATGTTTATTGTGGCACTATTCACAATGGCAAAGACTTGGAACCAACCCAAATGTCCAACAATGATAGACTGGATTAAGAAAATGTGGCACATATAGACCATGGAATACTATGCAGCCATAAAAAAGGATGAGTTCATGTCCTTTGTAGGGACATGGATGTAGTTGGAAACCATCATTCTCAGCAAACTATCACAAGGACAAAAAACCAAACACCGCATGTTCTCACTCATAGGTGGGAATTGAACAATGAGAACACATGAACACAGGAAGGGGAACATCACACACCGGGGCCTGTTGTGGGGTGGGGGGAGGGGGGAGGGATAGCATTAGGAGATACACCTAATGTAAATGACGAGTTAATGGGTGCAGCACACCAACATGGCACATGTATACATATGTAACAAACCTGCACGTTGTGCACATGTACCCTAAAACTTTAATAATAAAAAAAAAGAAAATAGGGTATCATGTTAGGTCCCAGATTGATTGACATAGTTAAAATCCCCAAAGGAGAATAATAGTCACATAACTGCTAATTTATTGCATTTTCCTCACTAGATGGAAAGTGCCATCGGGGCAGAGGCCACATCTGCCTTCGTTTGGTGCTCTATGCACTGTGCCTAGCACATTGTAGGTAAGTAGCAGACACTCCATAAATATTTATCATTTAGGTAGCTGTAATGGCAGACCTGACAGTCTAGAAGTGAAGAAACATCTGTAAACATATAATGGTAATATAATGTAGGAGACGATACTGGTAGGAGAAATTCATCTGGCCAGGCGCGGTGGCTCACACCTGTAATCTCAGCACTTTGGGAGGACATGGTGGGCGAATCATCTGAGGTCGAGAGTTCGCGAGCAACCTGGCCAACAAGGTGAAACCCTGTCTCTACTAAAAATACAAAAATTAACTGGGCACGGTGGTTCATGCTTGTAATCCCAGCCATTCGAGAGGCTGAGACACGAGAAGCACTTGAACCAGGGAGGCGGAGGTTGCAGTGAGCGGAGATGGTGCCACTGCACTCCAGCCTAGACGACAGAGTCAGACTCTGTCTGAAAAAGAAAAAAAAAAAAGATTAATCTATACTGCTATGGAATTTCACAAGACAGAGGCCTCCCTTCTGACCAGAGGAATCAGGAAATTCTTCATGGCATGAGACTCAGTCTCAAAAACAGTAAGACTTAGGTGAACATAGATGAGTACAAGGTGCATGCACAATAAAGACACAGGATGATCAACCATTCAAAGACTGGAAATCTAAGATCATGTATAGAGAACAGCAAGAAACTTAGTTTGGCTAAAATATAGTGTGGTGTGAAAGGAAATTCTGGAAGTGAAATTTTGACTGAAAAACCTCCAGACTCTAAGGAACTTAGAGTTTGATTGGTGAGAGAAGATGTGACTGTGAATTAACACAGTAGAGGAGAGAAGATGATAGATGTTCTGGATATCTCTTGCAGCATAACAAACCACCCAAAACTTAGACACTTAAAATAATAATGACCATTTATTTAGCTCACAAGTTTGCAGTTTGCCCAGGGTTCAGCAGGGGAAGTCTGTTTTATAGGCAGGAACTGGAGCCGTTCAAAGGTGGGAGTGAGGCCCATTCATGTCAGAAGGAGGTTGATGGAAGCTCGTAGCTGGGACCTCAACTCCTCAATGGGGCTGTCAGTGGGCATACCTACCCATGGCCTCTCCATGTGCCATAGGCTTCCTCACAGGGTGGAGGCTGGGTTTAAAGTGCAAGCACCTCAAAGAGGATGAGGTGGAAGCTGTTGCCTTTTTATAACTTAACTTCGGAAGTCACATAGTGTCACTTTGTTTTTAGTCACTGGCCTACCCAGATTCAGGAGAATGGGAAGACTGTCAGCATCATACAGTACACACAGCATATGGGATTGGGATACACTGGTGCAGCCATCTTTGGAAAATACAATTTAAAGATGTCTTCTATTGTAAATCTATTGAATACTATGGGGTAAACAGAGATACAAACGATCTGCCCTTTTTCCAGAGTTGTGTGCAATCTATTGGCGACAGGGAATGAGATAGGCATGTGTCTATGCCCGGGAGGTAAGGAGGCGGGGGAAAGAAAGCCACACACTGAGTAATAGTAAGAATCCCTATGTGGTAAGTGCTTGTTCAGGTTGCACTGATCATGCTGATGAAGGGAAGAATCCACTCTCATTTACTCACTGACATGCACAAACAAGCCTGCATGTTTAAAATGCTCAATCCAAGATTTAGTGAACAATAAAATCTGCTGTTGAAACAAAGAAGCAATAGATGTACATCAGTCCACTTCTAAAAAGTCTCTGGGCAAGTACTATTTGCTATTTACTAGACCAGATTCAATTGTGTAAAATTTTTGGGATCCTGAGCCAATATTCCTAAACCCATGTGTGCATCTTCAGAGTCAGGTAGAAGGTACAGAGAAACCCTTCCATTAGGTGCACAGATACGGTGCTCAAATATCTGAGCAGCGGTGGTCTGTTATTTTCCATGTAACTTCAAATCCTGCAAGTGTCGATACAGTTTTCTTTGTGGTAATAAGTCCAGTTCAAATTATTCCATAATTTCTTTCTCTCTCTCATGCTGTCTCTCATTCATTCTAATGTAAGCTGAGCTGACACCCAGAGAAATCAGAATACTCGAAGGTCTACTAGAAATAACAACGGAAGGAAGAAATGATTGGATGAGTGTGTGTTTGTCAGCTTTGGACAGAACTGGGGCAGAGGTGCCTCTGAAGGTGAGAAGAAGACCAAGGGGAGCAGTCTGGCAGGAGACGTCCACTGGGAGAAGGTATCACTGTGTTTAACACAAGCATCCAGTTCCTTGGCAGCCCGAGTCTCTGTGCACTGGAACAGATTTAAAACAAATATGAGAAAAATCCTGACCCCAAGTCTGATACTCTTTCAGCTCATCCCAGAGCTCAGGTGGGTTCAGTTCAGCTACTATTCAGGCCTTGCCTTTGTTATGCTCCTTTACTCTCACCCAGTCAGCAAAGCCTCACTCCTGGCTGGATTGTCTGTTTTGGCCTGTGTGGCTGTACTCAGTTGGCAGCATCAATTCCCTGCTCTCTGGGAGCTTACTGGATGCCCTGCCTGCATTGCAGGAATCACTATTCCCCCCCACCTGAGTAGAGAGTGGCCCTTACCCAGTGACGTCTTCCTTCCCTTTGCACCTGGTCCCTTCATTTATGCCTGAAATGGCAGATTCTTCCTTGCATGTCTTCCAACGACATGGCACCTGCAGGCCTCTCTTCTCAGTTCACTGGTTCTCCTGCTCCCACTGCCATGGGTATGACCACTTATATCCCTCCATACATTGTTTCATGAGCATATGACAGGAGAGAAGGGGATTATAATGAACAGGGATTCTTTTCCCCAATAAAGCAGAGAAAAAAGTAATACTTTCCATCACCTCTCGACTCTACATGTGTTTGTGATCAGACAATAATCACCTACCCTTCTAGTAGGGAGTGGCATCTGCATATCTGCATGCCATTCCATTGTCAAGGGCATATCTTTGGAGTTATCTACCCAACAAGATGCCTCTAGTTTACCAGCTAGACTTCCTGTCTCTAGTCTTCTCTTACTCTAATCCTTCCCCACAGTATTTCCAGGATGACATGTAAGTGATATAAATCTCAAGTTACTCTTCTAGTTCAGACGTTTGAATGAATCTCCATTGTCCTCAGAATAAACTCCAGACTACTAAATAGGGACACAGGTCCTTAGTAAACTGGCCTCAATTCGGCTTCAACCTTAAGTAATAGATGAAGTAAGTTCTTTGAAGATAGAGACTATGCCAAGTTCTTGTTCACCGTTACATTCCAGTACTCAGAACAGCACTTGACACGCAGGACGTTCTCAATACATTGTTGTTAAATGGATGGATGACTTAACTATGGCAAAGTCAAACTTCTGAAGGCATTCCTTGTATGCCTTCAGAAGTATGACTTTGAGGCTTTTTTTTTTCTTAAGATGGAGTCTCGCTCTGTCTCCCAGGCTGGGCTGGAATACAGTGGGGGTGATCTTGGCTCATTGCAACCTCTGCCTCCCAGGTTCAAGCAATTATCCTGCCTCAACCTCCTGAGTAGCTGGGATTACAGGTGCACACCATGACATCCAGCTAATTTTTGTATGTTTACTAGAGATGGGGTTTCACCATGTTGGCCAGGCTGGTCTCAAACACCTGACCTCAGGTGATCTGCCCGCCTCACCCTCCCAAAGTGCTGGGATTACAAGTGAGAGTCACTGCACCTGGCCACTTTGAGGCCTTTTGTCTTAGTCCATTTATGTTGCTGTAGAGGAATACCGAGTTTGGGTAATTTATAATGAAAAGAGTAATTTTTTTTCATTCCAACTTTTAATTTAGGTTCCAGGAGTACATATGCAGGTTTGTTACATAGGTGAATTGCATGCCATTGAAATTTTATGTACAGATTATTTTGTCAGCCAGATAATCAGCATAATACCTGATAGGGAATTTTTCAATCCTTACCCTACTATCACCCTCCACCCTCAAGTAGGCCTTGGTGTTTACTGTTCACTTCTTTGTGTCCATGAGTACTCAGTTTTCAGCTCAAACTTACAATACCTGATAGGGAATTTTTCAATCCTCACCCTACTATCAACCTCCACCCTCAAGTAGGCCTTGGTGTCTACTGTTCACTTCTTTGTGTCCATGAGTACTCAGTTTTCAGCTCAAACTTATAAGTGAGAATATGCAGTATTTAGTTTTCTGTTCTCCTTAGGATAATGGCCGCCAGCTTCATCAGTGTCACTGCAAAGGACATAATTTCATTCTTTTTTATGGCTGCATAGTATGCCATGCTGTATATGTACCACATTTTCTTTATGCAGTGCACCATTGATGGGCATCTAGGTTGATTCTATGTCTTTGCTATTTTGAATAGTGCTGTGATAAACATACACATGCATGTGTCTTTATGGTAGAACAATTTATACTCCTTTGGATATATACTCAGTGGTGGGTGATGGGATTGCTGGGTTGAATGGTAGTTCTACTTTAAGGTTTTTTTTTTTTTTTTTTGAAAAATCATTAGACTGCTTTCCACAGTGGCTTAACTAATTTACACTCCCACCAGCAGTGTATAAACATTCCCTTTTCTCTGCAACCTTGCTACAGTCTGTTATTTTTTCCTTTAATGATAGCCACTCTTACTGTTGTAAGATAGTATCTCATTGTGGCTTGGATTTGCATTACCCTAATGATTAGGGATACTGAGCATTTGTTCATATATTTGTTGGCCATGTGTGTGTCTTCTTTTGAAAGAAGCCCTTTGCCCATTTTTAAAATGAGGTTGGTTGGTTGTTGCTTGTTGATTTGTTTAAGTTCCCTGTAGATTCTGGATATTAGAGCTTTAACAGATGCATAGTTTGCAAATATTTTATCCCATTCTGTAGGTTGTCTGTTTACTCTGCTGGTTGTTTTTTTGTTTGTTTGTTTGTTTGTTTTTGGCTGTGCAGAAGCTCTTTAGTTTAATTAGGTTCCACTTGTCCATTTTCGACATGGGTTTTTTTGCAATTGCTTTTTGAGTCTTTATCATGAAGTCTTTGCTAGGGCTGATGTCCAGAACAGCATTTCCTATATTTTCTTCTAGGTTTCTTATAGTTTTAGGTTTAGATTAAGTCTTTAAATCATCTTGAGTTGATTTTTGTATGTGGTGAAAGGTAGGAGTCCAGTTTCAGTCTTCTGCATATAGTTAGCCAGTTATACCTGCACCATTTGTTGAACAGGGTGTTCTTTCCCTATTGCTTGTTTTTGTCATCTATGTCAAAGATCAGATGGTTGTAAGTGTGCAGCTTTATTTCTGGGTTCTCAAATCTGTTTCATTGGTCTATGTGTCTGTTTTCATACCAGTACCATGCTGTTTTAGTTGCTGTAGCCTTACAGTATAGCTTGAAGTCAGGTGGTGTGATGAATCCAGCTTTGTTCTTTTTGCTTCAGCTTTGGCTATTCAGACTCTCTTTTGGTTCTCAGTGAATTTTGTAACAGTTTTTTTTCTAATTCTGTGAATAATGTCATTGATAGTTTGATAGGTCATTGATAGTTTAATGGAATAACATTGAATCTATACATTTATTTGGGCAGTATGGCCATTTTAACAATAATCATTGTTCCTATCCATGAGTATGGGATGTTTTTCCATTTGTTTGTGTTGTCTCTGATTTCTTTCAGCAGTGTTTTGTAATTCTTGTGGTAGAGATATTTCAATTCCCTGGGTACCTGTATTCCTAGCTATTTTATTCTTTTTGTGGCTATTGGGAATGGGATTGCATTCTTGATTTCACTCTCAGCTTGGACATTGTTGGTATACAGAAATGCTACTGATTTTTTACATTTATTTTTTATTCTGAAACTTAGCTGAAGTTGTTTATCAGATTTAGGAGCCTTTGAGCAGAGACTATGGGGTTTTCTAGGCCTAAAATCATATCATCTGTGAAGAGAGATAATTTGACTCCCTCTTTTCCTATTTGGATGCCCTTTCTTTCTTTCCCTTGCTTGATTGTTCTGGCTACACTTCCAGTACTATGTTGAGTAGGAGTGGTGATAGTGGGCATCCTTGTCTTGTTCTGGCTCTCAAGGCGAATGGTTCCAGTTTTTATGTGTTCAGTATGATGTTGACTGTGGATTTGTCATAGATGGCTGTTATTATTTTGAGGAATAGTCCTTCAATATTTAGTTTCTTGAGAGCTTTACCATGAAAGGACTTTAAATTTTATCAAAAGCCTTTTCTGTGTCTATTCAGATAATTATATAGTTTTTAGTTTTAGTTCTGTTTATGTGATGAATCACATTTATTGATCATTAGCATATGTTGAGCCAACCTTGCATCCCAGGGATGAAGCCTACTTGATTGTGGTGGATTACCTTTTCGATGTGCTGCTGGATTTGGTTTGCTAGTATTTTGTTGAGGATTTTTGCATCTATGTTCATCAGGGATATTGGACTGAAGTTTTCTTTTTTCACTCTGCTCTCTGCCAGGTTTTGGAATCAGAATGATGCTGGCCTCATAGAATGAGTGAGGGAGGAGCTCCTTCTCCTTGAATTTTTGGAATAGTTTCTGTAGAATTGGTACCAGCTCTTCATTATATGTCTGGTAGAATTTGGCTGTGAATCTGTCTGATACAGGGCTTTTTCTAGTTGGTATTTTTTTTTACTACTGATTTAATTTTGGAACTTGTTATTGGTCTGTTCAGGGTTTCCATTTCTTCTCTGTTCAATCTTGGAAGGTTGTATATTTCCGGGGATTTATCCATTTCTTCTTGATTTTCCAGTTCGTGTGCATGAAGAGGTTCATAATAGTCACTGAGAAATTTTTGCATTTCTATGGGTTTGGTGGTAATGTCCTCTTTTTCATTTCTAATTGTGCTTATTTGCATCCTCACTCTCTTTTTTATTAGCCTAGCTAGTGGTCTACCAATCTTATTTCTTTTTCCAAATAACCAACTTTTGATTTCATTGATCTTTTGTATGATTTTTCTCATTTCCATTGTGTTCAGTCTAGCTCTGATTTCAGTTGTATCTTTTCTTTTGCTAGCGTTGGGGTTGGTTTGCTCTTGTTTTTCTAGTTCCTCTAGCTGTGATGTTAGGTTATTAATTTGAGATATTTCTAACTTTTTGATTGGCTGTTTAGCACTATCAACTTTCCACTTAACACAACTTTAGCTGTGTCTCAAAGATTCTGGTGTGTTGTATCTTTGTTTTTATTATTTTCAAAGAGTTTCTTGATTTCTGCCTTAATTTCATTATCTACTCAAAGTCATTCAGGAGCAGATTGCTTAATTTCCATTTAATTATATGGTTTTGAAAACTCTTCTTGGTATTGATTTCTATTTTTATTGCACTGTGGTCTGAGAGGGTGGTTGATATAATTTCAGGTTGTTTGAATTTGTTGAGAATTGTTGAGCATGTGGTCAATGTTAGAGGATGTGCCATGCGCAGATGAGAAGAATGTATATTCTGCTGTTATTGCATGGAGTGTTCTGGAGATGTGTGTTAGGTTTATTTGGTCAAGTGTCAAGTTTAGGTCATGAATACCTTTGTTAGAATTCTGCCTTGATGATCTGTCCAATACTGTCAATGGGGTGTTGAAGTCTCCCACTATTACTTCATGGTTATCTAAGCCTCTTCATGTCTCTACAAACTTGTTTTATAAATCTAGGTGCTTCAGTGTTGCGTGTATGTGTGTGTGTGTATATATATATATATCTTCATGTTGAATTGAACCCTTTACCATTATGCAATTCTGTTCTTTTTGATCATTGTTGGTTTAAAGTCTGTTTTGTCTGAAATCAAAATAGCAAGATGTGCTCTGAAGAAAATAGGTTTACTTGGCTCATGATTCTTCTGGCTGGAAGACTGGGAATATGGTGAAAACCTCAGGCTGCTTTCACTCATGGCACAAGGTGAAGGGGTATATGCAGAGATCATATGGTGAGAGAGGAAATAACAAAGAGTGGCAGGGGAGGAGGCAGCCTCTTTTTTAACAACCAGTTCTCACAGGAACTAATGAAAGTAAGAAATCACTTATCCCCCCACCCCCTCATCCAGAGAGGGTAGGCATTAATGTATTCATAAGGAATCTGACCCCATGACCCAAACCTCCAACCTATTAGGCCCAACCTCCAACATTGGAGATAAAATTTCAACATAAGATTTGGAGGGGTCAAACATCCAAACTATAGCACCTTTTATTAAGGACCATTTCAGTGTAAGACTGGCATGAAACATCCCTGCCTTAAACTAATACTCCAACTAAAAATATCTTCAACCTGTTCATTTTGGTCACTTGGAAACTCATGTTTTCCACTGTTAAAGCCCATAAAATAAGAGGATTTCTCTTACAAATACTGTAGCTTAACCATGGGAATAGTATATAATAATGCAGTGAAGTACACAGGTTTGAAGTCAGCCAACTGTCTGCTCAGGTCCAGCTCCTTCAGGAACTGGCTATGCAATCTCAGAAGATGGAAATGATAATGGTATCTGTCTCATAAGGTTCTTGTGATGGTTAAATGCCGGTGCTTAGTATTACTAGTGTCATAATTTCCATTTCCCTTCCTCTTACTGTGCTTCCTTCAGGAAGTTCATTGCAGCAGAGCCCACAACCAGCTGCTTAATGTGTCTGTCTTGAGTCACTGGGGAAGGAGGCATCTCTGTTTAGAGAGGATGTTTACTTCGCTGTAGTGTAGGAGCTGAGGCTCATGTAGCTCACTTTTCTAGAATCCCTTTCTCAGCGTCTTCTCAATGTTTGCCTTACTGACAACCTTTTCCTTCAGCCCCCATCTTCAGGCCTCATCATTCCCTCCAACTCTTCCTCATTGCTGCCTGTCCTAGGTGATGTTTTCTCTCAGAAAACTTGATTTCTGGAGAAATGAGGTTTTTAAAGCCTATGCACTTCAGGTCAAGGTAGACTAATGGTAGAACCCCCTCAATTCTGACCACAAAAATGTCCTAAATGTGCCACGTATCTCCTGCCTGAGCCTATGATCCAGCCATCCATGAAGTCACTTTCCCAGACACTCCTTTCTCCCAAAGTCATAGTGTACTATACCGGCAACCCACTCATACCCTGTACTACAGCTATGTATGTGTGTTTCTGGCTCACCTTTTAGCTTGTAAGTTCTCTATGAGTCTCCTTCCTATTTCTGGGATTCCCCAACATCTGGGGCAGTGTACTGGGAAGTAAATGATTATCTAATTGTTTTATTCATAGGCAAAATATATACATGATATTACTCTTTGTATCCCTATCCTCTATCAGATTAGGAATATGCTCAAGTTTTCATAGGAGTTTGGTTTAGTGTCATGGGATCATAGTGATTATGGGAAAAATATTAGCTTGTCTCAGTTTTAAAAAGTCTGCATTTGTTGAGTACTTTGTGACATGTATTCTCCTACTATATTTTTATTTCATTTAATTTCATATATATAAGTCCCCATTATATATAATACATACATCTATGTATTTGTCCCCATTTTAGATGAGAAAATATAGGCTCCATACTAAACAAATGTTCCAAGTTCCCATTCACATTCCATTAGGCACATGTAGGACAAGCTGCATAATTTAGAGGTCTCAGTACATAATTCAAATGCAAAGACCCTTGTTCAAAAATTATTAAGAATTTCAATCCAGTAATAGCAGAGCATTAAACCAAGCATGATGCCCTTCTGAGTGGTGCCCTTCTGAGTGGGGGACCCTGTGTGACTGCAGAGGTTTCAGGCTCATGAAGCCAACCCTAGCCATATGGCTACTGAAAGGGAAGTTGGAAAACGCAGACTTTGAGTGGCATGAGCCCAGAAAAATCTTGGAGGCTTTATTATTTATTTATAAAAGAGGGGGAAATTGATTTGTAGCAAAAACTTACCATCTCTGATACAGCCAATAAAATTAGTCAATAAAGACAGATTCCAAGGCATACTCAGTATTCAAACCCAAGTGTATCTTACAGGAAAGCCCTTAATCCCAACCATTCCATCCCAGTTGTAAAGTGAGTTAGGAGATCACAACTACCTACCAGTCTGTGGATGTTACTTTGACTTTGTGATTCAGGACCCATCTTTTCCATTCCTTTGATATAGTCTTCCAAAGCTGCCCCCACTACAGGAAAAACACCCTCGATTTAGTGGTCTCATTAGGAAGAGTGACAGAAAGAAGCCACTGGAAGAGTTAAGATAGAACCAAAGTCAAATGGTTTGGTTTTTGAAACAAAAACTGGTGATTGAAACAAGAGAGAAATTTCTCTCTCACACATATGATAATCTGAGCATAGGCAGGCCAGGACTGACATGGAAGCTCCATAATATCAGGAACCCAGACTTTTTCTATCTCATAGGTTTGCTATCAATGTACAGGATTCCCCTTTGGTCTGAGATGATGTCTCAGGTTCCCAGTGCAAAGTCTTCACGTCCTGGCTAGTGGACAGAGGGAAAAGGAAGCGGAAGACACAACTGCCAATTGTAAACATCACTTCTCTTCCTAATCCATTAGTCAGAATTTAGTCACATGATCACATCTAGCTGAAATTGAAGCTGGAAAATGCATATGACTGGCTAAAACTTGAGGGCTCTACTGCTAAAAGAAGGTGGGAGTAGTTATTGGGAGGTCACTAGCTGTCTCTGCCATGGCCAATAAAATTAATGAATATTGAGTTTGATACAGCATGGATGTTTCTTAGAGCCTCAAAAGGGAGTGAGCATTCATACATCAAGCATAGTCATTTTCTCACGCCAATTAAGACCTTTAGAACCAGGCCATTTTACCACAGAACATCATTCTTCTGTATTACTTTATTTAACAGCAATTTTATATTTTGTAAATGCTATGATTGGATTTTCATTATTAATAGAGTCATCAGTAATGATTTATTTCCTTAAATGAGAAAAACAGTCACTTTTCTGGGTTAGACATATAAGCTAATTATGTATACATTTCAGTTGAAAGAAATGTAAATGTTCATAAGATACCAGTTTTGCCAGATGTCTACCAGAAACATTGTAACACATAATCAAATACATGTACCTAATCATTTATTTAATAAAAAGCAATATATATGTGTTTATACACATTTAAAGCAATATACATGTGTTATACAATTATATATTACTATTTATGTATATTAGTATGTTAATAATTATTTTTATTATGATAACAAATATGAGGTAATACAGGAACCTAATATATTTTTAGATGTAGAAATTAGATATCACATTCTTAGAAATAAAATCCTCAAAACTTGTAATTTTTTTTCTTGGGATATGGAATTCAACATATCTAAAATGTGAAACATTTCACAATGTTTTATTCATATTTTGTCCTATTTCACAATACTTCAACTGAAGAGGCAAGAATTTTCAAAAAGTGTATTGCAGGGCTGCATTTCTTTTTCTAAAGAATTTACCTGAGATTACAGAGGTTTATAGACACTAAGAACCTCTGTATTAGGAATAGAGGAAAAAAGATGAAAATGTAAGCAGAAGAGCCTTCTGAATCTACACCCATCCAGTCAGACTTTTAAATATAGTCCTTTTAAGATGGGACCAGATATGAAAAAGTCATGGCATGCTAGAGTTCATAATGTGCCATGCATTCTTTAATTTAGAGATGGTATGCATCTACCCCTAGACTAGAGCCACCAGGATTCCAGACCCTGCCCATGCCAGGCATTAGTAATCAACTGCTGCACTATTACTAGGCAGCCACTTTTAGCTGATGAGAATTAACGTGTGAGATGAGATGTATTCATCATCTGTATTTTCATGCAAGCCTTTAGTCTAAACTCATTCAATAGCTATCATAGTAGAAATTGGGATTATAAAGATAATAAACACTTATTCCTCTCAGGAAGAAGCTAAGAAAAAGGACAAATATAAGACAGTTGATAAGACCTTAGAGGTGAGTATAGGACACTATGGGAGCCCAGACAGCAGAGTGGAGGGTGGGAGAGACACAAGGAAGATTTCACAAAAGAAGAAGCCATTAATGTCGTATACTCAGAATAAACCATTTCTGGCAAAGAAATGTAAGTCATGTGTGTGGTTGTCTTCTCTACCCTGTTGTACAGAGTGAATTTGACAGTGAGGGCTATGCTGCCTGACACACCTTCTCTTGCAGCTTATTATGAATGACTTCATCTGATAAGAGCCTTTCGTGATGCTAGTGGTTCTCGTGCTTTGAGAACAGAGGGTGGAGAATAGCCACATGAGCCTGTGATAATGACAAAAATTTTGAAAGCTCATGAAACTAATCATCATTTTGAAAAATCTATCTCATGTATTGAATGGAAACAAAACCCAATGTGACAATATCAGATACACCCTGGGACAAGAAAACCACACTGTGTCAGTACTTTTCCTTTTCAACCTCATGAAGCACTGCATAGCTTATGGATTCAATGAAGGACCTCTGTGGGCAGGCATCAGGGGGCGAGAAGAAAGCCAGCCACATGGTGTGTGATATGGTTTGGCTCTGCGTCTCCACCCAAATCTCATCTTGAATCGTACTCCCATAATTCCCATGTGTTGCGGGAGGAACCCGGTGGGAGATAATTTGAATCATGGGGGCAGTTTCCCCCATACTATTCTTGTGGTGGTGAATAAGTCTCATGAGGTCTGATGGTTTTATCAGGGGTTTCCACTTTTGCATCTTCCTCATTTTCTCTTGCTGCCATTATGTAAGAAGTACTTTTCACCTCCTGCCATGATTCTGAGGACTCCCCAGCCATGTGGAACTGTGAGTCTAATTAAACTTCTTTTTCTTCCCAGTCTCTGGTATGTCTTTATCAGCAGTGTGAAAATGGACTAATACAGTGTGACTGCAGTGGCTGCAGCAGTTGGAATCCCCACCCTGGCCCCAGAGGTTCCAGGGAAGCTACAGCAGCATTTAGGATGGGGGTGGGGAGTAAAATGGCGAGAGGACAGGAAACCTGCATGATAAATTCCACTGGTAATAAGGATTAAAATAATATTAAATCCTTCAACTAATACAAGCTGCAGTCTCCTGAGGATGCACTACTGAACGAACTGCAAAAGAGAAAAATAGTCAACAAGAGTAGTTTATTAAATGCCCATTTTCCCTAAAATTATCACCCTTCAAGCCCCATTGTGGCCCTACTTGAGGACATTGGGATCTGACTCCTGTTAAAGGAAAATAAAAATGGAGGCCACAGTTTAGATATATCCCCAAACCAACTGCCCATAGTCACATAGCCAAATCCTAAACTGTCCTGATCTCTCCAAAATGCTAGCTCTAATTAGAAATGAAATGCAAAACATAAACTTTTTATCACTGTTAGCATAATTCAATGAAATTAAACCAACCTTCTATAGATGAATCAGCTTAAACAGCTCTGCTTGCCTTTAAAAGCCTGTTAATATATGACAGTAAATCAAGAAAAAGATCAAAATACTTTTTTCTTTACACTTTTTATTTTATTTATTTTTTGCATTTATTTTATTTTGTTTTTTTATTCTTCTTCAAAAGTATTATAACCTCTTTTTTTAAATTATACTTTAAGTTCTAGGGTACATGTGCACAACATGCAGGTTTGTTACATATGGATACATGTGCCATGTTGGTGTGCTGCACCCATTAACTCGTCATTTACATTAGGTATATCTCCTAATGCTATCCCTCCCCCCCTCCCCCCACACCACAACAGGCCCCTGTGTGTGATGTTCCCCTTTTAAACTGGACTGCAAGTGCTGTCAGTGGGGCCTCATATCACTTTGGCTTGAGGTATCCTAATTCCAGAACTATTCTTTTGTATGCACACTACAGACATTTTTCTATCCTGATCTCATTTTATTTTTGACACACCTGACCTTGGTGAAGTTGACCAAACTTGCATTAAGGAGCCCTTAAGTCAAGCCACAGCAATTAGGGTATCTGTTAAAATGCAAAAGTCTCTGTCCTGAGATCCATTAATTCATCAGGCTTTATGAACACATTTAGATGAATTAACTTCTTAGATACCTTTCTCAGAGGAGCAGAGACCAGGAGGAAAGGGGTGAACTCAGATAAGCAGGGGTCGTGGAAATTGGAAGAAAATAAAGATTCAGAGGAAGAGTCCTTTGGACAAAGGACAAACAGATCAGAATGTAGCATCCCAATTCTGGCTTCTTCCCAGGGGGCATCAGGAGGGCTCTGCTTTCTAAGGTAGGGGAGACCCTGGTAGATTCAGGGAGGTTGACCACAGCAAAGCTGAACGTTTGCCAAATATAGACTTAAGCAATTACAATTCTGGCCATGGAGAGTCAGTTCTACTTATTTGAAGCTTTCCTACCCTCTGTCATATCAGTTTGGTACCCCAGTCACAAGGAGATCAGAGGATGGAATCACAGGTGATAGATGTAAACTTTCATCTTATTTCCTCCTGTCACAAGCTGAGTCAACAAGCCTGGATGAGCCTCAGTTTCCTCATCTGATTGGGAGTTTTCTCATCATGTTCTCCGCCTTTGAGATGTTATCCTAAGACTTCAGTGGCAGTGCACAGGGAAGCTTTTTTATAAACTATAAAATAATGTATAGAGGAAGGCATTAATTACCTTTAACATCATTGTCCACTAGAACTACCAAAAAGACACCTCAAATGCAGGATGGTGGGTCAGTAGATTAATCTTCTCATACTGTATTCAAAAGCAAAATTCAACACTTAATTTGAGATACATTTTTCTTTCCTGGATGGAATGAAAGAAGAAAAAGAAAACGGGAAGGATGGTGCTTTTGAAAGATTTGCCTGTGCTTTTAACTAATTTCAAACCCCAGCTTCAAATGCAGTGAGTTGTTTCATTTGATCAGCAATAAGTCATATCCTGCAAAAGGCAGCTCCCTGAAGGGGAAGTGGCTCCAACACTGTTTCCATGGCTCCCTGCTGTAACAGTATTTTTTACTGAACTAAGCCTTACTAATTTTAGCCATGGATTATCTGGAAAGCAAGGAAGAAATAGATGAAAGGCAATCTTACCTTAGCCACACTGAGCCCCTAAGAACCTTTTACTAAGAAAGTTGCTGCTAGAAAAGGCAACCATATAATTGCAACAACTTGGGGATGTTTGTCAACTGTTGTCCATCAGCACTTGGATATAGGAGGGAGATCCTGTTTTTCTAAGGAGGAAATAGAAACTCGGCAGTGAAATGATTTGATTTTGATCATTACAGCCTTTATAAGACAACTGAATATCACCCCAGACACCTTAATTCTAACCGTAGCCTCTGTCTGATCCAAGGCCCTTCCATTAATGAAATGATATTAGATTTGAGGATTAGGTTATTTTGGATGCTAGTTTCTATAATTGGATGCTAGTTTCTATAAGCTGCTTCAGTGATGCATCTTGAAACAAAGATCTGCATAAGAGAAATAATTTCTGTAACAAGGCTACTATGATTTTGAGCAGGACGTTAAGGTAAAAAAAAATAGTAATAGACAGACTCTGTTCCCTTCATAAAGATGGAGATACTACTTAAATAAGTAACGTTCCATTACCTACAAAGGAGTCATAAGAGAGACAGATATATTCCTTATCATCTTAGCCACTGCATCCTTCACAACCAACAAATCCTCCAGACAATAATGCATTGTTAAAACTGCACTTGGAAGTATTCGGGTCTCAGTGTAGGATGCAGGGGAAATCCCTATGTGAGTTCTGAAGGAGGAGGCAATGTCACCCTGTGAGCAGGTCCCATTAGATAGCCAAGACATGACCCTCTGGGTACTGTCTGGCTGCTCTGACTGGCCGTGTAGGCAAAAGTGTAGGGATTACCCTCGTGGAAATCCTGGTGGGTTTCCAGGCCCAGGTACCCCAGACTCACTTCCCTAGGACTGGTGGCTGCAACTCTAAGGGTGGCATCTAATAAGGGTCAGCCTTCAGCAGAATTCAGAATGTCCTGTTGTTTTCCCCTACATTTTCTGAACCCTATTCTAGACTGTTCTTTCTTACTAAGATATAGAAAACTCATAAAAGCAGTATTACCCCAAAGGGAATTTGCATTCTCACTAAGCAAGAAGCTAAAGAGAATTATTGGCAGTCACAGCTGTAGGGGAAGTAAACCTCTTTGAAAAGTCTTTTAAGTCATAGACTGGCTCTGTACCAGGAAACTTGGCAGGCTGATGAGGGGAGAGGAGCAAAGAGGGACTGTCACCAGCTGCCCACTTCCAGGAATCTCTTCTAATCCAAGGAAATTCTGATTCAAGATTCCTTTAAGACTCCACAAGGTCACTCAAGAGTAGAATTAGATTCCATTATGGGAGCCTTGGGCATACTTCAAATGCAGTGTCTAGGCAGGCTTTGTCCTTGAGAGGATTTATTTCAAACACTTGAGGAATGCCTAAGCTGCTTCTTCGTCCTAAGGGGACCATGGGACAGCCCAGATCAGGCTTACCTATTTCAGTTCACAGTGTGGTGGAGTTGCAGAAGAAATTCTTCCTGGAGGAAATGGCTCCCAAGCAGAGTCTTAAAAAATTAACAGAGGTTACACTGAGGAAGAGAAATGAGAAGGCATTCCGGAGAAAAGAACTAGCAAAATCCAGGGTATAGAAAACAGCATGGGTAAGAGATCTTACATTTTTCCTTAGTGTAACTGGCAGGTTTCCAAGTATAAATGAGCTGGATTACTCAAGGCCTCATGTGCCCTGCAGAAGAACTTGTATGATGACCTATTGGCAATGGAGCCGCTGAGAGTTGAAGCCAAGGAATATATTAACTTTTTGGCTGCAGATGAATAATGTAAAAATATGCAAGACATATATATATAATCAAAAAAAGAACCTTCCAAAGAAATGAAGAGCATGGTCCCAAATTTGTATACTTATATATGTGTGTGTGTGTATGTGTGTTTGTAGTGGGAGGTTTATTTATCATTGAAATTAAGAGCATGAATGAAATTAAGAATATGATGTCATAGTATTACAACATGATGATTATCCGTGCTATGTTATTCAGGTCTCTAGTTCCAAGTAACAAAAAAAAAAACTCATATTAGCTTAAATCACACACAGTAGCTATGTAATGTTGGACAAGTTTCTTAACCCTGCTGTGCCTCAGTTTCTTCGTTCACAAAATGAAGATAATAGTACCTCCTTCAAATGGTTACTGTAAGGATTAATTAAGGTAACGTGTAAAGTACTTGGATCAGTGCCTAACATATTTGTGTCCAAAATTATTATTGTTGTACAACAAAAAAGTTAGAAAAATGCATGTTAAACTACTTTTAGCATTCAATTTCCAGTTTTGAGTGATTTGTATCTGCTTTACTTGTATTATAAATGCTCTATAAATGGCATATGTTAATTAAATCATCAGAGGAAATACCTTACCAAAAAAATAAATGGAGTGAACCTAAGGGCCAAATGCTCCTGATCCTCAGGCCAGACAATTTAATAAGAAGACTCCTGAACTAGGAATACAGGTCCTGGTTTTAAGTCCCATCTCTAAGACTTCCCAGGTGCATGAATTAGGGCTACCTAGAGAACATCTGTGAGTTTGAGTTTGCTCTTTCATTGGGTGTGAATAACTATATCTTTTCTAACTATCTTACAGTGTTTGCTGGCTAATACAACATGATAATGAATGTGAAGTTCACCGTGAGCTATAAAACCCTGTACACATGGAAGGATTTCTTAATAAAGTAATTCCCTCACTTACTCTATTTCTCATTTCTCTGCCTGAAAAATGCAAATCTGCTCAATGCAAAGGGATTGTACTTATTGATTAGGTAATTACTGTAGAGTCTGCAGCCTTTGGAAAGCAAGAGGCTCTCTAGGATACACTATAATTTTGCAGATCAGCAGCTCTTGAGTACTCAGGGTAAGTCTGTGTTGTTTGGGGTTATTCATGCGATTTGCTCCTCTGCTTCTCTTTCTTGCTATCTGCCTTTGCTCATTTTATTATTTATTAGCAACTGGCTGTGAGGTAAGGAGGAAAATAGAAAGGGAGATGAAACACAAACCACAAAATAATGTCACCTGTTAGTGAAAATGTCATCAGTGAGAGAAGACGCTGGATCTTACTGTACTTTAGATAAACTGTGACTTCTTTGAATGAGTACCTGGGCAACGAATTTGTACCCTTTCTATACACAACACAGAGTACTAACCACTATACGATCACGGCCGTGCCCTTTCTATACAATCAGAGATGTGGTATTGTTGCTTAAGCCTCATGAAACTCGTTAATGTTCAGAATGGAGCCTAGGTTTTCGAATTTGGTTATGCTTCTCGTTACTGTGCTTTGGATTGAAAAAGTCTCACAGAAGAGTAAAACTCTTACAAAGCATGTAAGTGCTCTTTATATATTACACCTACATCTTGTAAGCTTAGTCTGAGTCTTGTAACCCCTATCCCATCACAGAAAGCTCTTCTCCATATCTGACTCAGTTTTGTATCTCTGACGGTAGACTGACATTTCCAGTCTCAGGCTAGAAACTGAAAAGGTCCATTCTCTATGATAATTCCTTCTGGAGACCATGGAGCATGAGGTATATCTCATGGTAGCCTCAAATCCCTGGAAATTTGGGGGGTTTGGGGCATTAACAATCTGGATAGTTTTGGTCCAAATCTGTCTAGTGACCTTTAGAGAAAGAGCATTTTCACCCAGAGATATAAGAATATGATGTCATAGTATTACAACATGATTATCCATGCTTTATTATTTATTATTCAGGTTTCTAATTCCAAGTAACAACAGCAACAAAACCGAACTCATATTAGCTTAAAAAAATTATGAGCTCACTGAAGGAAGGGCAGGAGATGACAGGAACTCCAGGAGCTTGTACACCATTGGGACATTTTTTCTCTCCTACATCTCTCAGACTGGCTGCCCCACAAGCTAGATCCATGGCAACAAACATCACTGGACTTTTATTTTTAAAACCTCTAAACCAGAGAAGACAGTTCTTGCCCCTCTGAAGGAGTAATTCTTTTTTGGAGGTGCATCTGTGGGTCTTCAGAGAACTGTGACTTTAAGATGTAGTCTATTTTCCTCAAGAGCTTTCCAGTCCAAATGTCACACAGGTAAGTGATAAATATGTAATGAGATACATATAAATATTAAATGACAAAAATTATCAAGGCACCAGGAGGAGAGACTTTAGTCTCATCTGCTGTGAGTGAGAGGATGAGAAATATTATAATGAGACACAAAATTCTGTTTCACCAACTGGGTAGTGATAGAAGAATGGCAGATAACTTCAGAATCATGCCAAAGTCGTATCTGATGGTTATTTATGCTTGTTCCATATGTACATATTAAAACTTAACCATTTCAGAAACAATTATTCCATCGCATGAGACCAGTTATTATCAATTATTTCTGATGTTGAATATATATATAAAAGTATAAATTAAATACGTTCCTTTGGGAAAGATATCTGTACTAGGTGAATGCATCTAGTATTTCTACCTCTGTGCTCATAGACTATAATGTGGAGCAACTAGAATTGTGCAAGATGGCAGCCTTAAGTGTGTTGGGAGTGGAGTTTGGAAATGTGGTAGAGACTTAAAATTGCCTATGCAATATTCATTCTCCCTTCTTCCTTACTAATAAAACTTTAATTATATTTCAGATTATAGTATGCCCAGGTAAAAACTTACATTTTCCTGGTGGCTTGGTGTCAATAAGAAACCAGCTAAAGTTGTTAGTGGGGCATCTGAAAAGTCCTCTTTCCTTTCTTCTTTCCTGCTTGCTGGAATACAGATATAATGCCTGGAACTCCAGCAGCTAATCTGGGTGACTAAGAGACAGGTGAAGATGGCAGAGATGATGGATAGAAAGAACTTGGTTTTGAAGATCATGGAATGGAGTGACCAGACCTGCCCTAGACTGCCCACCTTCATGCTTTTAATTCTATTTTTATGATTGTTTTTAGGGAGATACACTTTTTAATGTAAAGCCATTAACATTTTGAACTTTCTTATACATGAAGCCAATTAAACATGTGTTTTAAAATTCAGCTATTATGGGAAACACAGAATCCTAAAAAGCAATTTAGCTGTAGAAACAGTGAATGAAAGATCATTGTCTTCAGAGTTCTGCTGTTATTTGACTCACTGCCATCCAGGCACCATCCATCTGCCCTTCTCACATCCTCATTTCACCTTGAAAGCTGAACAGAGGTGAGAGAAATATAGAGGAATGATGAGGGAGGCAGGAAGAATGGAAAAGCCGTATTCTGGCTCCTTTCCAGTTCATTCCTTAATCTCCCATGTGGATGCTCATGGTTGGCAGAAAAAAAAAAAGCAGTGAAAGCCATTACTACACCTTAATCTTAAATCTTAGAACAGCTTTCAGAGAGGGTAAAAAGCACTTAAATAAAACCCTTTGCCAAGAAAAGTTGCATTGAAGCTTGAAAATGGAACTGATGGCTAATAATGCATTTTGGGTTATAGCAAGAGTTCTGAGATACAAATGTGTTCATTTTATCTTCCAGTGACTACATTCACATCAATGGCTTAGGACATGTATTTACAAATTCCTGTGAAACACATGTTACACTCAGGTTATCAGGCTACCTTTTTTTCCCCCAAGATAGGATGTTCAAGCATTCTAGTTTTTGTTTGTTTGCTTGTTTTTTTGAGACAGAGTCTGGCTCTGTTGCCCAGGCTGGAGTACAGTGGTGCTATCTTGGCTCACTGCAATCTCCACCTCCTGGGTTCCAGCGATTCTCCTGCCTCAGCCTCCCCAGTAGCTGGGATTACAGGCATGCACCACCACACCCAGCTATTTTTTTGTACTTTTAGTAGAGATGGGATTTTACCATGTTGGCCAGGCTGGTCTCCAACTCCTGACCTCAGGCAATCCACCCTCCTCAGCCTCCCAAAGTGCTGGGATTACAGGCATGAGCCACTGCGCCCGGCCCAAGCATTCTAGTTTTAAGTGAGAATAAGTTAAAAATATTTGCAGAACAAAGTACAATTACATTCTTGAATAATCAAATTAGTGCTTTAAAAATATTTGAGACTATCAAATGCTCTCAAATCCAAGCTTATCTCAAGAACTAATCAACATAATATAATGTATGCAGCTTTGGTTGAGAACATCATAAATTAATAGGATCTGGAATATAAATACCAGAAATTGTTATATGTTGCATGGTTTGTCTTTTAGTGGGAATGAAAAGTACAGCTGGGAGCAGTGGCTCATGCTTGTAATCCCAGCACTTCAGGAGGCCGAGGCAGGAGGATCACTTGAGGTCAGGAGTTCAAGACTAGCCTGGCCAACAAGGTGAAACCCTGTCTCTACTAAAAATACAAAATTAGCCAGATGTGGTGGTGTATGCCTGTAGTCCCAGCTACCCGGGAGGCTGAGGCACGAGAATGGCTTATACCCGGGAGGTGGAAGTTGCATTGAGCCGAGATCATGCTACTGCACTCAGCCTGGGTAACAGACTGAGACTCCATCTCAAAAGGAGAAAAGTACAGCTCCTAATTTAATACTCCTAAAATATTTTTTGGCACCTACCACAGACAAGGTACTTTGATAAGTACTGGGGACACCATATCCTGTCTAGGTCTGTTATGTTCATCTGCAGCTAGAGAGGGGATTGCAATATGCAGGATTCTGAAGAAACACAAGCATAAAGGGGCCAAATTATACATTTAGGTCTCACATGTAGATCTCGAGAGAAGGATTTTACTCAAATATGTAGGCAGTGGTCATTAGAGCAATAACAAAGGCAACAACAACAAACAGTGGAGGGGAAACACTGCATATCCAAGAGCCCCAGACAACAGGTCTGGGGAACCTGGGGCCTCTGGAGTTGATCTCAGCCTTCAGTGAATTTTAATTCCTAAGTAGAACAAGTCTTTAAAAATTCTCCATTTTAAATTTGTAAATAAAAGGAGAACAATTATTTTTGTCTTGGAGAAAGGATGATTTCCAAATGGTGCAGAGGTCATAGGAGTACTGAAGGGTGGTTAGAGCAGCCACTCACCTGCTCTGATGTTCTCAGGCCGGGTGAATAGGAAGGTCAAAGGCATCCAGGCTGTTGCCCCTCTCTGTAGGTTTCTGGATTTCTACTTTTCTTTACTTGTACTTCTGTGGATTTTCTTCTGTGTCCCTCTGCCTTGTATTCTCTTTCCCTCAGTGTCTATCCATCTCTGTTATATATACACATATGGGCATGCATACATATATACATATTCTATATGTATATATACATGTACATTCATTTTTTTCCTCTGTTCTTTAATTTTTTGTAATATAGAATTGAAAAGTATGTTTTGCATTTCTTAATTAGTATGGTTTCTTGAATATATTTTTCTTGTTTTCAAAAAATATAAAGGAGGTAAGTGAAATTATTTAAATTTCTTTATAATTAAAACAACCCAAGGAATTGGAGTGGCCATCTATGTGACATCTGTTTTTTTGCACGTGCGTGTGTGTGAGTAATGGGAAGAAGATAGTGCAAAGGCCAGACTAGAAAACACATTTATCATCTGTTAGAGCAGAAAGTAACAGCTTATGTCTCACCCATACACCCAATTCACCCATCTATTGTAGCTCCAAATTAGAAACAGAAAAGTAAAGGAAGATTACAGTTATCACACTGCAAACTATAGCATCTTACTGACACATTATATTAACTCTTTCTTTTTTTTTTTTTTTTTTTTTACTTTGCATTGTTTTCTTTTTTTTTTATTAACTTTAAGTTTTAGGGTACATGTGCACATTGTGCAGGTTAGTTACATATGTATACATGTGTCATGCTGGTGCACTGCACCCAATAACTCGTCATCTAGCATTAGGTATGTCTCCCAGTGCTATCCCTCCCCACTCACCCACCCCACAACAGTCCCCAGAGTGTGATATTCCCCTTCCTGTGTCCATGTGATCTCATTGTTTAATTCCCACCGATGAGTGAGAATATGCGGTGTTTGGTTTTTCTTACTAGGAATTGCTTCTAATATTTTGGCCACTTTTTCTCCAGAAGGGGAAAAAATTCATCTTCATAAGCTACCTAGGAGTTAACAGGTTTTCTGAAATATTTATTATGAATTAATTAGTGGATACTGTGCATTTAAAGGAGATATGACTGGGTTCTTGCATGTTCTCTTGCTCTGCCTTTCAACATTTAAAAATAAACATAAGGATATCTAGAGGGTGTGGAGATAGATTATCAGTAAGTCTTTTTTTCTGTAGTTATTGGAAATAGTTATTATAAAGCCTAAGTGATACAACCTATGCTGCATTTTAATTAGACTTTAGTGTTTTCTTTCTGATGATGGCATCTGGAGAACAATCTGGGTGCATTTCCCACAGTAAGATGCCTTTTGTGGGCTGATATCTCAAAATACACCTTACAACCATCATAAAGAATAGTAAAGTTATCAGCACCAAAATTGTCTGTCATCATCAAATGAAGGAGAGAGATTTTTAGTGGAATCACCCAGATTAGCTATCAAGATGAGAATATATCTACATGGCATGACTAAAGCTTTTCTGGTCCATCTTGACAAAACCTCCAATGGTAAATTGGTATAACTAGCCGTTAGAATCCTGATTTCGATTGCGAGTAAGATGTACCTATTAGATCAGGGGGCCAGGACTAGGAGGCTACACAGCCATATGGCATGCCACTTTCCTATCTAAAGATGCTTCAAAGCTTTCCCAATGCTGTTACTATAGAGACCAAACTTCTTACCTGTATGACCTGGGCCCCAAGCTGCTGCTTCTATCAGCACTCAGCTTCTCAAGCTTTTCTTCAGTGTCTCAATATGCCACGCACTCTCTTTCTCAACCCCTGGTATTCAACTATGCTAGATTTCCTGTCTGAAGTAATCTCTCCTTACCGTTTCTCACACTTCTTTCCCGTTGTCTGGTTTGACCATCGGGTGCCAGTTTAAATACCACTTCCTCCAGGATGTCTCATCTGATACTCAAAGGACATGTTAGTTTTCCCATGAATGCTTCCATGGCACCCAACACTTCCCCTGGCTAATTTCCTCATGCTGTAATTGCTCATTTCATTGTCTGTATCCTCTACTAGATGAGAAGCCCTGTGAACATATTATACTCTATCGTATACAGCTTTGTGCCCAAAGTGCTTACCACAGGTACTCACATAAATACTTTGGAATGAATAAACTTCAGATTATGTGAGGTGATACCAATATCAAGGAATTAGAAAAAAAATGAACAGACAGTTAGAATGTGAAAGAAGACTGGGTAGAGGGGTCTGGTCCAATAGGTCGTATATATTAGGTGGATACACTAGTAGTGACAGCTATGGGCCACCGGTAGATGGCCCTCAGATAAATGAAGCATGCAGTCAGGAATTGATTTTGGATATCAACTCCCTAGTATGGGATTAGCATTCAGAAATCAGATTCTTGGCCAGGCGTGTGGGGGCTCATGCCTGTAATCTAGCACTTTGGAGGGCCAAGGTGGGTGGATTGTCTAAGCTCAGGAGTTTGAGACTACCCTGGGAAACATGGAGAAACCTCATCTCTACTCAAATAAATTTTTTAAAAAATTAGCCAGGCATGGCAGTGGGTGCCTATAGACCCAGCTACTCAGGGGGCTGAGGCATGAGAATTGCTTGAACCCAGGAGGCGGAGGTTGCAGTGAGCTGAGATCATGCCACTGCACTCCACCCTGGGCAACAGAGCGAGACTGTCTCCAAAGGAAAAAAAATGAGATTATTG